>NC_000002.12:21600664-21752179 GCF_000001405.40 Homo sapiens
TGATCTAAATTTTTAAATATCCCCTGTATCAATCTGAAGACAACTAGTTTTGCCTTTCTGCATCAACACGAAATACAGGATATGTGCTTGGTAGCAGAACAAACCTATATCTCTGCACAATGGTTTGCTAGCACATTAGTTGACCTAATGAAAATAAATTTATAGGGAAGAAGAGAATGAAGGCTTATGGTATATGTTGCAGATTCTTTTATATAAGTGATTGGGCAAATTCATCAAAAACTGTGAATCAATGTGACTAAGATAACTTGAATAAGAGCCCCTACCCTTTCTCTCTCTCTTCAATCAATGCCATGACTGAAAGCACTAGAGGCAGACTAATTACATTTTTATTTGGTTCAAATTTAGGAGGTCAATTTAAGAAGCCATTTGACAGATAGGGCTCAAATAATTTTGCCAAACTAAAATAATAGGCTGAAACATGTACAAATTACATATATTTAGTGTTTATTCTGTGCTAGACATAGAAGAAAGTAGGTTTATGCACTATCTCATTTACTAAGTGGAAAAATACCTATGAAGTTTCTATAATTATGCCTAATCTGTAGATAAGGAAGCTGATGTTCAGAAAAGAGGCGCAATTTGCCCAGAGTCACATAATTAATAGGTGGCAGAACCACGGTTTGAACCTGAGAAGTTAGTCATTATGCTATATTAAGTTTTTAGGTCTGTATTTTAGTTAAAATTAAAATTGGTCATTGTTTTTCAAGATTTGGAAAATATCATTACAAATATTTCTGAGAAAAGGACTTTCAGATTTCACAAACTGTAAGTTTAGTCTGAACCAAAGCCACAAGGTGACTATTTGAAAACTCAAATAAATTGGGGCTGCACAATGTCAAACTCAAGGAAAACAACAATTCCACTTGTCTCAAGACCTCATTCAGGGTTGTAGTGATTTTTTAAAAGAGACTTTAAAGAGGCATGTGTCCAGAAGAAGAAACTAATAAGATTTATGAAGCATCTGAAAAACATTGTCAAATTAATTCACATTAATGGGAGTACTCTGTGATAGGTGTTACAGTATAATAATGAACAAAACCAAACTTATGTCAAGGAGCCTAGAATTTCAAGGAATTTAAGGTATTTATACCAAAGAAGTAGCTTGAAAGTAGGATGAGGTTTGATTCAATTACCAAAACATTTAAATACTTGGTGTATGTCACACATTATGCTGGGGAATAGAGATGCAGGGATGAACAACTACATCACAGCATCTGCTCTCAAGGAGACCAGAGTCTAGGGCTGAGGGAGGTCCTGTACAGTCAGTTGTCATATGATGAGTACTGTATAGCCACGTGTTGCTTAACTATGGGGATAAGTTCTGAGAAATGTGTCATTAGGCAATTTCATCATTGTGTGAACATCATCAAGTATACATACACAAACCTAGATAGTATAGCCTACTGCACACCTAGGCTATGTGGTGTAGCCTATTGCTCCTAGGCTACAAACCTGGACAGCATGTTACTGTATTAAATGCTGTAGGCAACTGGAACATAATGGTATATTTGTGCATCTGAACACAGCTAAATACAGAAAAGGTTTGGCAAAAATACAGTATTATACTCTTATGGGAACACCACACTGTATGTGGTCCTTCGTTGACTGAGACATAATTATGCATTGAATGACTACATTAGTAATATAAAGAGCAGACTAACATGCTGGGGTCATAGCAAAAGTCAGAAGAAGTACTTCTGTTTGTTTGAGGCAGGGGAGTGGAAGAGGGTCACTTAATAGCTTTCTGCAAATATTTTAGGAGCTGCTACTTGGTACCAGAAACAAATTTATTTTAAGAAAATAAACACTTCTGGAGGGAGCATACGAGTTTGGAAATTGCACAGAAGAAAATTTCATTAAAAGGGGAAAATGTTTTCTAGAAAACAAGAGATGAGACAACAAAATAGGTTGTCTAATTTGTTGTCTACAACGAAAGAGTGGACTACCCCTCAGTAAACATGCCCAAGTGGAGTCTAGCCCACCACATCACATGGATGTTGTGGTCCAGTTTCCTGCCTTGGTGAAAGTTTAAATAATTTTTAAAGTCACTACGAATTCTGAGAATACATTATTGGCACAATCAGCTTCCTAAATTAGAAGAGTTATTTGCAGAAAATATTGATTTGGCTTATTCTTTAAATATTTACAGGTGTGAGCCTAGCACTGTCTTGTGGGCACAGCCTTGCACCTGTATCTTCACATTGTCTGGCCTGAGCTTATTTCAGGACTGAAACCTGTAAATTGTATTGTCCAGTAAGTGAAGAAATGATCATTGTCTGATGAGCCTGCACTCCAAAAGACCAAAGCCGAGACATGGTACTACAGATTCTAATTAAGGCAGCATTGGTTTCCACAGTTCAGGTCAGGCACTTCTTATCTGGTCTCTGGTACTGCTATGATGGGGAATCGCACATGTTGTCAGCTGAGACACCCACACTTTCCTAAGGAGATTCTTTTAGTCTAAATTATTCTGGGGACATCTACAATCCTTTATCACTTTCTTTTTGGAGTAGTAGAAAGTCCAATGTACCAGAATCCAGGAACACTGAATTCAGTTTTTCGCTTTGTCCCTTAATATCCACGTGAATTCTCCTTTCAGAGATTTGGTTTCCTTTTCTATAAATCATGAGAGGTGCATTAAATCAGTAGCTTTAGACATTAGTCTGGCTTCTTTAAAGGTTTTTGGAGAGCTTTTAAACTACCCATGCTGGAGTCTCAGCCTTAGGGAGTCTGATTCAGCCTTGAGTAGGATCAGGAAATAATATTTTTTAAGTTCTCTCGAGGAACCTGATGGTACAGCCCTATTTGGGAAATAGGTTAGGTAATTTCTAGGTTCCTTTTCAGTTCTAAGATTCTATGAATTTGTGATTCTGTTTTTCCCTCCACAAGACTTCAGTAATACACACACACACACACACACACACACACGTATAATGTGTGTGTGTGTGTGTGTGTGTGTGTCTTAAGAAGAAAAGGCTTTTACGCACCACAGCCCATGTGGAAAAATCCAATTCACCTGTGATTATAGGCGACATCATTTTATTTTAACAATTTCCCCTTCTAATGCAGCTCAGGTAGTTGGAAGAAATGTCCCCAAAATGAAAAAGCTGAGAAGAATGAAATAAACATTTAGCCAAGTTAGTTCATAACCTCTCCCCAGCCCGCCCCCCATCTGCCGCCCTTCTAATTCCTTCTCTTCTTTCTGGTCTCAAACATTTAAGCAACACATAAGAGGAAAAAAGCTCTCCCTTAAGCCCATTTCTGAAATGGTTCTATTTTTAAACACTGCAGTTCATCTCAATTGTGCTCAAATTCAATTCACTTGTGATTGTCTGCTATATTATTTTCTTTATCAATTTCTCCCCAGACTCAGTGGGGTAGTGATTGAAATTTGAAAGCTTATGGGGGGAATAAAGTCCAAAATAGTATTGAGGAAAATGTGTCTTGAGTCTGTTGGCTGCAAGAAGCCCTTGCTTTCCCACAACACCCAATCCACCTTCATCCATAGTCTCTTGATAAACACCATCCAGCCAAAATGACTTAAAAATAAATTTAAATACATTGTTCCATGATCAAAATGGTTCTTTTCTCCCTAGCCATAAAATATTTTATTTTCTGTTGTTGTAGTATATGCTTAATGCTTTGGCTAAGATTGTCCTCCTTTGTAAGACATCATTTAGAAATGGAGGAACCTGATGGTATAGCCTAATTTGGGAAATAGGTTAGGTAATTTCTAGGTTTCTTTTTAATTCTAAAATTCTAGAATTTATATGCATTAAGCATATAATCATTGCTTAATGACTGCTAAATTATTGCTGTGCTTTAGGTGAAATAAGGCATGGTATGTAGCTATGCACAGTATTAGGAATGTTGGCCTTTGGAATCTTCTTGAAATGGAAAGGTAACACTCATCCTGTTCCCAAACTGGTTTGGCCTCTGAACACAAAAAAGAACTTATTTCTAATAATAATTCTAGTTAATATCATATTTGCCAAACTTATGATTTCATTAATTCAATGCAAAAGCACTCGCCAAGTGTATCAGGGATGATGAAATGAGCAGAAATTAACAAAATCGGGATGTACGGTTGAGTGTAAGGATGCATAGTTCTAATACGTATTCATGAACATCTGTAAGATAGTTCTTCTCATTCTTGTCCAAGACCCCATCGGGTGGTGGAAGTGCCCACACTCAGGTAAGGATGTCCCCTATTATGCAGCTCAATGTTTACCTGTGTCTTCCTCACGGCATGCTTTCCTAGCACTTTCTTTTGTATTGTGTCATTGGCTGCTAAGGTTTACTTATACCTGTTTGGACTTCAAAGCTGTAAGAGAGTACAGTGATCCACTGGAGCTCTAGAGTCTTACTTTACGGATGGATGGAATATCAGAGGCTGATCAGTACACCTTGTTCCAAACACATTAAACACATCCAAATCTTTGTTCAAAGTGAGATCTTTTATGTAAACCATGTTCTCCAAATTCTGCTTTCATAGATTCCACTCCTCTTTCTCTCCACTTATGAAAAATTTGTCCTTCATTTGAAGTCTGACACCTCTAAGAAGACTTCCCTGACCACTTTCCCACTCAGTGTGAGCTTCCCTTGTATTCTTAATTCTTATGATATTTGATGTGAATATTTACTATGAGAATTTTCTTATGCAATTATGGAGGCTAAGAAGTCCCATGATCTACCATCTGCAAGCTGGAAAACCAGAAAAACTGGTGGGTAATTCTCAGTCAGTCTCAAGGCCTGAGAAAGATGAGCACTGATCTCTGAGGGCAGGAGAAGGTAGATGCCCCAGTTCAAACAGAGAGAAGGAAGTCACCCTTCCCCTGCCTTTTTGTTCTATCATTGCCCTCAGTGGATTGAATGATGCCCCCCCACATTGATAAAGACAGTTCTTCTATACTTAGTCTATTGATTCAAATGCGAATCTCTTCTGGAAACACCCTCACAGACACATCCAGAAATAATATTTTACCCGTTGTTTTGGGCATCTCTTAGCCCAGTCAAGTGAACACATAAAATAACTATCACACTTCCCCAAGTAAACTTCACGTCCCTGCATTGCAAAACTGTATCCTGTCCTTTTTGTCAGTGCCTGGCAGAGAGGATGGCACATGCCACCTGCCTATGTATTAATTGTGCAATGTTAGATTAATAACAATTTGTTGAACACCTATGTGCTAAGCGCAGGATATATGCCATATTATAACAATTCTATGCATTAAGTACTATTATTATTCTGGTTTATAAATAAGGAAATTGGGAAGTCAGTTGGTTTAAATAGTATACCAAGTGTCAGAGTTGGGATTTGAAGTCAAAGCCTTATCTGGGAACAAATGCAGTATGATGTGGTGAGGTTTCTCTCCAGGGTTCTGCTTTGTGAGTTATTCTTTCATTTCTTCTCAGTTTCTTCTCACCACAGTCACTCCCTTGGGAGTGAGAGCAGAAAGTGGTATTGGGTTTAAAAAGATGCGTGAATGACAAAAAATTCTTCATGGAAGTGCTTAGAGGAGAGTGATGTTGGGGGCAAGGAGTGAATAAAGTCACATTACACAATTAGCTGAGACACTTGAGTTCAAAGTGACTTAATTTTGTAATGATGGTAGTATTTCTCAAACACGCAAGCAGCATCAAAGGCAGAGTTTTCACTGTCAGTAACGCAATTGGAGCAAGAGACTATGGAGTTTATTGATGCTGATTAATCAGGTGACTCACCTGGACATACTTGACATCCAACTCCACTCGAAAATCTTGTGCTTTTATGGCATTACGGCAGAAGGAAGTAATGGCAGTACTTCCCCTCTCTTAGATTTGCATAATTGTAAAGCATCAATGATGCCATTACTTTTTCAAAATGATTGTTTTGAAAATGATTAGCTACTACAAGTCCTAGAATAAAATATGTCTGTATATTTCCTGCCTTTACAAATGCCTGAGAGCAAAGACAATGGACTGGAGAAACATCTGAAAGAAGCAGACAAACATCTGCTAGATCAATAGTCCTCACACAATTAGCCTCCATGGAAGGCAGACCTTAAAAGACCCAAAGCTAGAATTCTATTCATGAAGAGACTGACATAAAAGAGATGGTATATATATAAAGTACTTTGAATATTATAAGGAACTCTCCAGATGTGGGACATATTGTTTAAGCAATTCATCAAAAGACTTCCTAGGAAGGGTCTTTAATATTTCTGGGATGGTGAAAACATGAAGAGAGATGCCTGTGGTTTAACGTGTATAAGGAAGATCCGAGACTTATTAAAATAGAAGAAAAAATTGCATTGAATGAAAGATGTTAATCTATGATTATCTTTGGAATGTTCTACACATTGAACAAGCCTCTAAAATGGACTAATGCTCTCTGCAGTATTTTGGCAAGTGACTTTGGCAGCCTCCACTGTCAGGGTCCTTTGTTCTTGAACCCTGGAGTTTAGGTCATAGAGACAATCTCATTTCAGGAAAGAAAACATTCTTTCCTAGAGCTGACAATTGGAAACCCACAAGAAACTCAGCTGCATATATTGGTGTGGAGCCTAGAGAGGATCATGAGACACTGGTGAGAAATGGAAGTAGCAGGAGCATATGAGAACATGTGCAGCAACACTTCCTTCCACTGTTCCTCTAAATTGGTATTGCAGAGGTTAAGGAAGAATTATGATGTCCCCGGGGTGGTCTAAAAGCACTAAGAACATGCAGTTACCAGTTAGTTTTTGTAAAACAACTTTCTTGTGGTGTATAGAAGTGGATTGTATATATACACACACATATTTAATATTCACTGAGCCTTTATTATGTGCCAAATGCTTGCGAGTATACTTCCAAAAACTGAGGATACTGAGGGTCTAGATTGAAGCTAAAAGCTGAATAGAAATGGAGGGTGATTTGGTTATTTATCCCTGTATAACAAATGACTCTGAAAATGTAATAGCTGAGAACAATGACCATTTATCATCTTTCACAATTCGGTGTAGGACTGGTCTCAGCTGGGTAGTTCTTCCGCTCTGTGTGGTATTGACTGGGGCTGTCATCTTCCGAAGGCACAATGAGACGGTAATGTCTATGATGGCTCAATTACATAGCTGGCTGTCAGTGCTGGCTACAGGACAGAGCTCAGCTCAGCTGTCAGCCAGGGCTCCTTGAATCCTCTTGCTAGCTTTCTACATGGATTCAGCTCTGCATAGCATGGTGGCTGGTTCCAGGAGCAGAATTCCATCTACGAGAAAGCAGAAGTTAAAGAGGCCCACCCTTGAAAATTACACCCTGTCGCCTCTGATGCATCTTATTGATCAAAGGAAGTCACAGGACCAGCTAAAATTTAAGGCAAAGGGAAACAGATTACATCTTTTGCATGAGCAGAGGCAAAATACAAAAATGAAATAAAATATGCCCATCTTTAATACACAATGTACAGAAAGGAATGTATCTGGGATGACTGTAGAAAAGAAAGTAGTCTTATCAGTAGATCACTGATGAGGGTTCAAGTTTGTGTGCGTATGTGAGTGGAGTGAAATTTGTATTTTTAAAAATGTATTACATAGTTCACAGGAAATTTTAATGGCAGTGAGAGACCAGGAGCCCATGTATACCAAGCCAATGTTGTATGAGCTGCATTTTCAGAGAAGGCCATCGTATTCCGTCCCCAATGGTTGTGGGCTTGTTGCTGGGGACCCTCAGAACTGTGGCTCCTCCTTCAGCCTCTCTGCCATGCCAAGGCTCTGGGAAGTCCCTCCATTATTGAGGACAAGGGGATCCTATCTATATGGTATGATAGTGATTCTAGCTTGGGTGTTACACAAAATTTGAAAAAACACTTAAATTCTTATTTTCCTGATTTTAGTTCTTTCTATGCTTAACTATTATACATGAAGACCGTGTTCCCTATTCTTAATATTAGTCCTTCTGTAAAATCTTGTATGCTGTAAGAGCTTAGTTAATACTTTTTGATTGATTAAATAAATGCATTCTTTTAAATCTAATACCAATTTTCTTCATTTTTAGTTATTGTGGTGTCTCTGATTATGACAATATTTTCTCGAGATGCATAAAAAATTCATGGTAGGAATGAAATCAAAATCACAATTTTATTTACTTACAAGTAGTTTGTTTTACTTGGATACAATATCTAGTTTTCTGTACCTACTACAAGTTATAACTATAGCCCTCACCACTGACCCAAAGCTATACTATTTGCTAAATGGGGAATCTGGCAAGAATATGAATGCCTGGCTAACCAAAGATGCTGGAGTTTTCTGGAGGGACTCAAAATATAACAGAATGCTTGTGTCACATTTGTATTCAAAGGAATATGTGTGTATTTAAATACATACATATATGTGTACATTGTATACATATTGATCAATAGATAAATATTTACATGATTTCTTGAGGATAATGATAACCCAGGAAATATTTAAATTATCTGAGCTGAGCTACTTATTCATCTTCAGCAACTCCCATCACTAGAAATGCTTCACTTCTCATTCAAGAATTAGAGGACTGAGCTTTAGTTCCATTTCTCCTTCTGAATAAGTCATAAAGACATGCCTCATTTGCCCATAGGCCATATTTCCAGCCATCCAATCCACACAAAGTGATCGAAATTGGTTAAACAGATTTCTAAGAACAAAAAGAGCTCTCACAAATCCTGTACCCTTTTGCTTTTTGGTGAGATATGACACAACCTTTATAGCAGAGGAGACTTAATGTGGTTTGTAAAGTTAAGCTTCTTAGGAGAGAATACTAGAAGTAGTGGAACAGTGAGGGTTTCTGCATATAGACAATGCAGTATAATGGTTAAAATCTAAGTTAACACAATGCATAAGTAGCAGTTCCAAGTCCAAATGTGCTTCACTGCTCTGGACCCAATTTCCGTATATGTAAAATGGAGATAGATACTTTGCAGGGTTGCTGTAAATTCTGTAAACTCTTTATATCACATAGCATAGTGCCAGGAAACAGAAGAAATCAAATGGCACTTAAACTATACAGAAACGTCGTTTATATAAAATAGACAATTTCCTAGTAATACTGGAAAATAAACCAGCACTCTATGTATGTACACTTCTGTATTATATGTTAAATCTGGCAGAAAAAAATGCTACTACCACAATGCCAATGACGTGCATACATGATGAATAGATTCAGCTCATCTCTGAGCTCCGTGGAGAAGGATACATAAAAAATGCAAACATACATTCAGACAAACTACTAAGATACACCTGTGCAAACATAAAATTAGCACCATCTCAAGAAGTGTGAAAAGAAGGAGCCTAAAAACCTTGTTTACTCTTGAGTTTTGTTGATTTTCTGCAAAAAGAATAATGATTGAAGAGAAGTACTTCTACTGTTCTTCCTGTCTGAAATTCTAAAGCCTGGAGGCCATCTGAGTTCTCCTTTTAGGTTTTGGCAGTTATTTGAGAAGTGGCATAGGAGGGTAAGCAATCACAGCAGGTTCTAGAGAAAGAAGCATCACCTAAATTGCTATTCTAAAGTAGTAAACAGGATTCAGGCAACTTCTGAGAGTTAGACAACTTCTAAGAGGGTAAACCAAGGATAGAAACAGGATGTGGAGTGTTGACCTGTTCTATATGCTTCACTCTGATATATAGATGACTGATTTATTATTTTCTCGTTGAAGAGTATGCAAAATTTCTGCCTTTTGAAATAGATGATTATTGGTTACAGGTTGCAGGAGCAAATTAATAAATAACTTTCATAAAGTTAAAGAACCAAGGTCATGTTGGGACAAATATGGACTTAGGCTTGGACGGCAAAACAGCGAGGTCAGGTGTAGTTGAGACACTGGAAATGTTGCAGTATTTGTGTGTTCAGTACAGGAAGTGGTCCTTGTGTATTTGGCAGATCTGTTTAAGGAAAAGATTTGGTCATGTTCTTAGTCCAGACCCTATACTTAACACTTTCCAATCAGTAGCCACCAGCCACATGTGCCATTCAGCACTTGAAATGTGGCTGGTATGAATGAGTAAATCTATTAAGTATAAAATACACATGCAATTTCAAAGATTTAGTATTAAAAAGGATGTAAAATATTATATACTAATGTTTATACTGGTTGTTGTAACAGCAGTATTTTGGATATCTAGGGCTAACCGACAAGTTATTAAAATTAATTATTTTGTTTTAATTTTTGTGGATACATAGTATGTGTGTATATTTATAGGGTACCTAAGATGTTTTGGTACAGGCACGCAATGTGAAATAAGTACATCATGGACAATGGGATATCCATCCCCTCAAGCATTTATCCTTAGAGTTACAAACAATCCAATTTCACTCTTTATTTCAACATGTGCAATTAAGTTATTATTGACTACAGTCACCCTACTGTACTGTCAAATAGTAGGTCTTATTCATTCTTTCTATTTTGTTGTACCCATTAACTATTCCCACCTTCCTCTCAGCTCCCAACTACCCTTCCCAGCTTCTGGTAACAATTCTTCTACTCTCTGTCAGTGAGTTCAATTGTTTTGATTTTTAGATCCCACAAATAAGTGAGAACATGTGATGTGCATCTTTCTGTGCCTGGCTTATTTCACTTAACACAATGATCTCCACTTCCGCCCATGTTGTTGCAAATGACTGGATCTCATTCTTTTCTCTGGCTAAATAGTACTCCATTATGTATATGTACCACATTTTCTTTATCCATTCATTAGTTGATGGAAACTTACATTACTTCCAAATCTTAACTACTGTAAGCAGTGCTGCAACAAATAGGAATGCAGGTGTCTTCAATATTCTGATTTCCTTTCTTTTGAGTATATACCCAGCAATGGGATTGCTGGATCATACAGTAGCTCAATTTTTAGATTTTTGAGGAATTTCCAAACTGTTCTCCATACTGGTTGTACTAACTTACATTCCTATCAACAGTGTACAAGGGTTCCCTTTTCTTGACATCCTCGCCAGCATTTGTTATTGCCTGTCTTTTGTATATAAGCAATTTTAACTGGGGTGAGATGCTATCTCATTGTCGAGTTAACGGGTGCAGCACACCAACATGGCACATGTATACATATGATTTGCATTCTCTAATGATCAATGATGTTGAGCACTTTTTCATATGCCTGTTGGACATTTGTATGTCTTCTTTTGCAAAATGTCTATTCAAATCTTTTGCCTATTTTTTAAATAGAATTATTAGATGTTTTTTCCTGTAGAGTTGTTTGAGCTCCTTATATATTCTGGTTATTAATCCCTTGTCAGATGGGTAGTTTGCAAATATTTTCTCCCATTCTGTGGGTTGTCTCTTTATTTTGTTGATTGTATCCTTTGCTGTGCAGACACTTTTTTTAACTTGATGTGATCCCATTTGTCCATTTTTGCTTTGGTTGCCTATGCTTTTGGGCTATTGCTCAAAAAATCTTTTCCCAGACCAATGTCTTTGAGAATTTCCCCAATGTTTTCTTGTAGTAGTTTCATAGTTTGAGGTCTTAGATTTATGTCTTGAATCAATTTTGATTTTATTTGATTTTTATATATGGCAAGAGATAGGAGTCTAGTTTAATTCTTCTGCATATGGATATCCAGTTTTCCTAACATCATTTATTGAAGAGACTGTCTTTTCCCCAGTGTATGTTCTTGGCACTTTTGTCAAAAATGAGTTCCCTATAGGTGTGTGTATTTATTTCTAGGTTCTCTATTCTGTTCCATTGGTCTATGTGTCTGATTTTATGCTGGTACCATGCTGTTTTTGTTATTATAGCTCTGTAGTATAATTTGAAGTCAGGTAATATAATTCTTCCAGTTTTTTTTTTTTTTTTTTTTTGGCTTAGGATAGCTTTGGCTATTCTGGGTCTCTTTTGTGGTTCCATATAAATCTTAGGTAGGTTTGCCCTATGTGAAGAATATCATTGGTATTCTCATAGGGATTGCATTGAATCTGTAGATTGCTTTGGGTAGTATGGACATTTTAACAACATTGATTCTTACAATCCATGAACATGGAATATTTTTCCATTTTTTGGTGTCCTAATCAATTTATTTCATTAGTGTTTTATGTATTTTATTATAGAGATCTTTCACTTCTTTGGTTAAGTTAATTCATAGTTATTTAATTTTATGTGTGGCTATTGTAAATGGGATTACTTTTTTATTTCTTTTTCACATTGTTCATTGTTGGCATATAGAAATGCTACTGATTTTTGCATGTTGATTTTGTATCCTGCAACTTTACTAAAGTTCTTTATCAGTTCTAACACTTTTCTTGTGTACTCTTTAGGATTTTCCAAATATAAGATTATATCATCTTCAAACAAGGATAATCTCACATCTTCCTTTCCAATTTGGATGACCTTTATATTTTCTCTTGTCTGATTGCTCTAGCTAAGTCTTCTAGTACTGTGGTGAATAACAATGGTGACAGTGGGCATCCTTGGCATGTTCTGGATATTAATGGAAAGGCTTTCAGTTTTTCCTCATTCAGTTTGACATTAGCTGTGGGTCTGTCGTATATGGCTTTTATTATGTTGAGTTGTGTTGTTTCTATCCCCAATTTTTTTGAGGATTTTTAATCATGAAGAGATGTTGAATTTTATTAAATGCTTTTTTGGCATCAGTTGAAATTCTCATATGGCTTTTATCTTTCATTCTGTTGATAGGATGTATCATACTAATTTATTTGCATATGTTGAACCATGCTTGCATCCCAGGGATAAATCCCACTTGATTATGATGAATACTCTTTCTAATGTATTGCTGAATTTGTCTTGCTAGTACTTTGTTGAGGATTTTGCATCAATAGTCATAAAAGACGTTGGCCTGTAGTTTTCTTTCTTTGATGTTTCTTTGTCTGGTTTTGGTATCAGGGTAATATTGGCCTCATAGAATGATTTTGGAAGTATTCCCTCCTCCTCTGTTTTTTGGAATAATTTGGGTAGAATTGGTGTAAGTTATTCATTAAACGTTTGGTAGAATTCAGCAGTGAAGCAATTAGGTCCCGAGTTTTTCTTTATTGGGAGATTTTTATTCCAGCTTTGATATCATTGTTATAAGTCTGGTCAGGCTTTGGATGTCTTCCTGGTTCAATCTGAGTAGGTTATATGTATCCAGGAATTCATCCATTTCTTCCAGATTTTCTAATTTATTGGCATATAGTTGCTTACAATAGCTGCTAATGAACCTTTGAATTTCTGCAGTATCAACTGTAATGTCTCCTTTTTCATTTTGATTTTGTTTATTTAGATCTTCTCTCTTTTTTTCTCTTAGTCTGGTTAAAGGTTTGTCAATTTCGTGTAACTTTTCAAGAAATCAGCTTTTGGGTTCATTTGTAATGTTTATTTTTATTTTAATTTCATTTATTTCTGGTCTGATCCTCATTATTTTTCTTCTACTAATTTTCGGTTTGGTTTGCTCTTGCTTTACTGGTTCTTTAAGATGCATGATTAGATCATTCATTTGAAGTTTTCCTCTTTTTTAATGTGGGCACTAATAGCTATAAACTTCCCTCTTAGTACTACTTTTGGTGTATCACACAGATTTTGGTATGTTGTGTTTCCATTATGTTGTATTTCAAGACATTTTTCAATTTCCTTCTTAATTTCTTCATTGGCCCACTTGTCATTCAGAGCATATTGTTTTAATTGCTATATATTTGTATAGTTTCCAAAATTCCTCTTATTATTAATTTCTAGTTTTATTGCATTGTGGTCAGAGAAGATGCTTGATATTATTTCAATTTTTAACTTGTTTTAGGACTTGTTTTGTGACATAGCCTATGGTCTGTCCTTGAGAATGATCCATATGCTGAAGAAAAAAATGTGTATTCTGCAGCTCTTGGATAAAGCATTCTGTAAATATCCATTAGATCCATTTGTTCTATAGTGCAGATTAAGTCTGATGTTTCTGTTGATTTTATGTCTGGAAGATCTGTCCAATGACAAAAGTGGAATGTTGAAGGCGCTAGCTATTATTGTACTAGGGCCTATCTATCTCTTTAGCTCTAAAAATATTTCCTTTATATAGCTATGTGCTCCAGTGTTGGGTACAGATATATTGAAAATTGTCACATCCTCCTGCTGTCTTGCTGAATTGTCCTTTTTATCATTACGTAGTGAACTTCTTTGTCTCTTTTTGAAGTTTTTGTCTTGAAACCTATTTTGTCTGATATAAGTATAGCTACTCCTGCCCATTTTTTGGTTTCCATTGGCGTGAAACATCTTTTTTCATCCTTTCATTTTCAGTCTATGTGTGTCTTTATAGCTGAAATGTATTCTTTGTAGGCAACAAATCAATGGGTCTTGTTTTTTCATTCATTCAGTCAGAGCCTATGTCTTTTGATTGGAGAGGTTAGTCCATTTACATTCAGTGTTATTATTGATAAGTAAGGACTTACTACTGCCATTTTGTTATTTGTTTTCTAGTTGTTTTATGGTCTTCTCTTTATTCTTTCCTTCCTGTTTTCCCCTAGTATAGGTGATTTTCTCTGGTGATATGACTTAGTTTCTTACTTTTAATTTTTTGTGTATCCATTGTATGTTTCTTGGTTTGAGATTACCATGAAGCTTGCAAATACTATGTTATAACCCATTATTTTAACTTGATTACAACTTAACATTATTTGCATAAACAAACAAGCAAAAGGAAAACTAATAAAAACTGTACACCTTAACTTTGTCCCCCGACTTTTCAACTTTTTGCTGTTTCTATTTATATCTTACTGTACTGACTATATCTTGAAAAGCTATTGTAGTTATTATTTTTGACTGGTTCATCATTTATTCTTTCTACTTAGGATAAAATTAGTTTACAATACCACAGTTACAGTGTTATAATATTCTGTGTTGTCCTGTATACTTACTATTACTGGTGAGTTATGTACATACAGGTGATTATTTATTGATAATTAGTGTCTTTTTCTTTTTTATTGAAGTACTCCCTTTAGCATTTCTTATGGGACAGGTCTGGTATTGATAAATCCCTCAGCTTTTGTTTGTCTTCCTTTATTTCTCCTTCATGTTTGAAGGATATTTTTCACTGGATATACTATTCTAGAGTAAAAGATTTTTTTCCTTTAGCACTTTAAATATGTCATGCCATTCTCTCCTTGCCTGTAAGATTTCTACTGAAAAATATGCTAACAGATGTATTGGCACTCTATCGTATGTTATTTGTTTCTTTTATATTGCTGCTCTTAAAATCCGTTCTTTATCTTTTACCTTTGGGAGTTTGATTACTAAATGCCTAGTGGTAATCTTCTCTGATTTAATGGACTTGGTATTCTATAACCTTTTTGTGCTTGGATATTGATATCTTTCTCTAGGTTTGGGAAGTTGTTTGTTTTCATCCCTTTGAATAAACTTCATACCCCTATGTCTTTCTCTACTTTCTCTTTCAGGCCAATATCTCTTAGATTTGCCTTTTTGAGGTAATTTTCTATATCCCATAGCCATGCTTCATTTTTTTAAATTATTTTTTCTGTAGTCTCCTCTAACTGTATATTTTCAGATAGCCTGTCTTCAAACTCACTAGTTCTTTCTTCTGCTTCATCAATTCTGCTATTAAAAGACTCTAAGGCATTCTTCTTTCAGCTCCAGAAATTCTGCTTGATTGTTTTTAATAATTTTGCACTCTTTGTTAAATTTATCTGATAGAATTCTAAATTCCTTCTCTGTGCTCTCTTGAATTTTTTTGAGTTTCCTCAAAACAACTATTTTTAATTATCTGTCTGAATTGTCACATATCTCTGTTTCTTCAGGATTTGTCCCTGGTCCCTTATTTAGTTGATTTGGTGAGGTCATGTTTTCCTGGATAGTGTTGATGTTAGTAGATGTTCTTTTTTATTTTTTTTTTTTTCCTAGGTATTGAAGAGTAAGGTATTTATTGTAGTCTTTACTGTTTTGGCTAATTTGTAGCCATCCTCCTTGGGAAGACTTTTTAGATATTTGAAAGGACTTGAGTGTTGTGATCCAAGCTGTATTTACCTTAGGGGGTAACTTAAGCCCAATAACACTGTGGTTCTTGCAGACACATTGACATACTGCCTTGATGGTCTTGGACAAGATATGCTAAAATTCTTTTGATTACCAAGCAGAGACTCTTGTTCTCTTCCATTACTTTTTCCAAAACATACAGTCTCTCTCTTGTGAGCCACCTAAGGCTGTGGGTGGAGTGACACAAGCCTCCCTGTGGGCACCACCACTATTACTGTGCTGGGTCAGACCTAAAGCCAGCACAGCCCTGGGTCTTGCCCAAGGCCTACTCCACGGATACTGCCTATGTTCACTTAATACCCTGGGGCTCTACAATCAGCAGGTGGCAAAGCCAGCTAGGCCTGTGTCCTTCACTTCAGGGTGGCAAGGTGGGTCCAGAAGTGCCATCCAGGAGTAAAGGACTAGAGTCAGAAACCTTAGAAGTCTACCCAGTTTTCTATTATACTGTGGCTGAGCTGGCACTAAAACCACAATATGCTGTCCTTCCCACTCTTTCTTCTGCTTTCCAAAGGCAGAGGAGCCTCACCCCGTAGCCACCATGACCCCAGACCACAAAGAGTACTACCAGATTACCGCCATCGTCTCTTAAGGCACAAGGTCTCTTAAGTCAGCTTGTCATGAATGCTGCCTGGCCTAGGACTTACCCTTCGGGGCAGTGAGCTCCCCTCTGGCCCAGTACAGGTCCAAAAAAACCATCCAAACATCAAGTCCTGGAATCGAGGACCCCAAGAGCCCACTTGATGCTCTACTCACCTGTGGCTGTGCTGGTGCCTAAGGCGCAAGAACAATTCCCATTTACTTTTCCCTCTGCTTTTCTCAAGAAGGAGTTTTGCTCCACAGCCACCAAGGGTGGTGATGTGCTGAGTCTTACCTGAAGCCATCAAGTCTCAGAGGATCACCCGAGCCCTCGATGTAGCACCTGGGTATTGCTGCTGGTTATTCAGGGCCCGAGGGCTCTTCAGTTATCAGATGATGAGTGCTGCCAGCACTGGGTCTTTTCCTTCAAGGCAGTGGGTTCTGGCCAGGATGTGTCTAGAAATGTCTGTTTGCTAGGGCCTGGAACAGGGACTTCATGATTCTGTCCAGTGCCCTATCCTGCTGTGGCTGAGCTGGTATCCTAGATGCAAGACAAAATCTTTCTCATTCTTCCCTCTTCTCTCCTCAAGCAGAAGAAAGGGGTTTCTTTTGGAGCCTTGAGCTATGCAGCCTGGTTTAGAGGAGGGGTGATGCCAGCATTCCCTTGGCTTCCCCAGCTGGTGTCTCAGTATGTCACGTGTCCCCTCAGTCCACTGTCTCTGGACCTAGTTCAGCACTGGGACTCACCTAATAGTTGCAGTCCTTTTGGCCTAGACTGCCTTTCAAGTTTACTTGGTGATACAGCGTGCTGTAGCCCTCGGTGGTGAGGTTTGTAGGCACTCAAGTTTGGACCACTGGGATCTGCAATTCCCCTCTGGCTAGGGCTGGTTTGAAAGCTCCCTCTGTGAGCAGGCATCAGCTGAGTTTGGTCTGGTTTTCCTTTCTGCTCTAACAGAACAGCACTGAGTTCAATGCCTCACAATTGCTGTGTTCTCCCCCAGCACCCAGAGAGGCTCTCTGCATCACACTGCTGCTGTCGGGGGTGGGTGAGGGGTGGTGTTGGTGATTCAGGACTGTTTTTTCTGTCTCTTCAAAGCCTCTTTCGGTGAT
This sequence comes from Homo sapiens, assembly GCF_000001405.40. Taxonomy (NCBI): domain Eukaryota; kingdom Metazoa; phylum Chordata; class Mammalia; order Primates; family Hominidae; genus Homo; species Homo sapiens. The sequence continues at coordinate 21,618,334 of NC_000002.12, forward strand.
GAGAAGTTAAAAGCAGTACAATGAGGGCTTGCCTGATTTTTAGTTCTTATGAAAGTGTTTTATCTGTGTAGATAGTTGTTAACTTAATGTCCTTGAGAGGGGAACAATTGCTGGAGCTTTCTATTCTGCTGTTTTGCTCTGCCTCCTCTCAAATTATTAGAATTAATTTCACCTGTTTCTTTGGACATTTTAATGTGGCTACTAGAAAATCTAAAATTACAGATGTGGTTCGCGTTATGCTTGTATAAAGAAGTGCTATCTAGACAGTGCCAGACTAAAAAAATAGGTAAGGCTTAACCAGCCAGGTAGTAAGTCTACTAACTTGTCAACTCTATTGTAGGAAGCTTTTTGCCCAGCTGTAACATAAGGAATATTCATAGTAGATAGAAAAAATTTCAATTTGAAACTGAAGAAGGAAGAGGAGATAGAGAAGAAAATATTAAGGTGATTAGCATAGCAATAGTACAATTTATTGCAAGATAGTCTTGGAAATGAAAAAAGAGAGCAGAGATCAAGTATATTCAAGTTCTCTGTTAGAAAAAGGAGATTAAGATGCAGATGATAGTCTGATAGGTTTGTGTCAACATGCTGTGCTCTATGTCAAAATTTTAGTTGGTATAACTTAGGTGGAGTATTAGAGTGTTTTTCAGTATCACCTATAAGTGCAGATAGAATGCCCTACTCCCACCTCAATGAATAACCACGTTATGCTGAGTTAAACAAATTTATAAAAGTTCGTTAAGCTTTTCCATATTATAAATCTGAGATATTCCAAATCTCTTTGAGGCACTGAAAGGCCAAAATCATTTCACGCGTTGGAACAGATAGATCGTCTCAAAATTTGTTTTCAGTAGTAGTGTATGGTTGATTTTCTTTGGGCTGGACTGCTGAAAGTAACCATGGGGATCTCCCTGGGAGCAAGAGTGAGGATGAAAAGCAGATTCCTTCAGAAGAAACTGGTTTCGATGGACAGGATCATACATATCTCAAGTTAAAAAAAAAAGGTGGACTATTGAAATTGGAAAAGAGAGAAAATCCATTTTTTCCTCACTCATGCCTACTTTTTGTTACACATCTGTAATGGCACTACAAAACAAGTTAGCTATTCCTGGCTAATGTTGAAGAAACAAAGTCTTAAAATTAACTTTCATTAGTTCACATAAAGAAAACAAAGGTAAACTTAAGATTCTGCTTGTAAGGTCCAAACTGTCTACTTGCGAAGACAAAACGTACAGAGCAGAGAATGTTTTACCCAAAGAGAGCTTCTTTGTGGCAAATTTCTCACAATCTTAAAGGTCCAGGGCTACAGAAATTGGTATTTTCTTCAAGAGAGAGCTCTAGTGAGGGGCTTAGGAGGGCAGTTGTTGTAGATAGGTTAACTTGGTTAATATTGGATCAGCTGCTTGTGAGCAGTGTGACCGTAACAAGTTACTAATCTCTAAAATTTAGCGTACCCATCTTGGACATGATAATATAATAATACCTACCTATAGTGTTATCTCACGCATGCAAAAGAGTTGATACACATAAAATGCCTAATAGGATAACTGACACTTAATAAACACTAAGTGTTAACTGTTATATACTTCAATGGCCAATGAGGATTTATCTGTATAGTAACATATTACTCATTGCTGAAGGATGAGTTCTCTGGCATGCAGATTCTGAATGGAGCAAACTCTTCAGAAAATTGATTACTGAATACTGATGCAATCAACTCTTATGGAAGGAAGCAGAATTGGACAGGATTGGGATGGAAGCAGGGTTTGCCAGAGGGAAAAGTTTTGTTGAGATATAGTTTCAATCCAGATTTCTGCTTGCTCCTTAGGAAGCTCTGAAGCTGGCATGGCTCTTCAGAATTGTCCAAATTAGGGTAAGGGACTTGGCCTGGAAACCCCCATGTTAAACAATCACTGGATGTGGTTTGCCTTGGGAAAAAATATGTCTTTGGGTAAGGCAATTCATGAAGACAGCAATTTGAAAGCCACAGTCTCAGTAGCTGGGAATCAAGTTTTTCCATTCTGAAAGGGGCACTGAGCAGCATGTCACAGCATCCACCACACTCAACATGACCAGAAGCAGTGCCATCACTTGTCAAGGAGCTCTATTCCAGGCATTGGAACAGATAGATCACCTGTTCAATAAGGCCTATTAGGTTTGTGGGGAGAGGGAGTTCCAATAAAAACACCTTCTTTTGCTTCTCCTGAGTTTGAAGTCAGATGAGAAATAAGATATTTGAATCCTACACATGGAACTAGAATGACAGTTTTCTTTCTAATAAAGCTGAATTGGATAATGTGGATTTATCTCCTTCAATAATCACCCTATCTAATATACCTTCCCACTGGAATCCAACATATAACACAATCTTCAGGCCTTTCTCTGCAGAGTCAGGGCCAGACACTGTCTAGAATGCAGCCCTTGGACTAGCAGAGGGCACCTATGTCCTGAGGGCGATACGCGCAGAAGGAAGCAGTACTCCCAGAAGTAACTGAGCCTCATATACTCGGTGCTTTCTTCTAATTTCAGAAGAGGTCATGGGAGAGCACAGGAAGTGTTTCCATGGCTTTCTCTCAAGGGGAGTAGAAAATGAGAAAATTTTTCATTCTATAAAAATGAGAAGTGGGATTTAAACATTCCTGCTTAATTCTGCTTCTTCCTCTGGCTACTTTTGGTCTTCCTTGGAGGCTTTGTGTCCTCAAAATAGCTCAACAGAAGACGTTATGTTCATTGGCATCTTCTAACAAGGTCTTTCTGTCCCTGAGGCTAGCTTTAGGCTTCTAAAGAGTGACTGTGTAGCTATGATTCTGAATTTTATAGACATGCAACACTTTTTACCACATAGCACATAAAGATGCAAATAATTCTACAAGACTAATTATACAAAATATGATTGCCTTTCTACACCTCTTCAATTGCCATTCCAGAAAATGGCAATTTTCAAATAGTTTTGCCTTCCTATGGTATCAATCTTCATGTTTCTTAGTACTACACTTACACTGACATGTTTTGATTTTTCCACTTGAGGCATTCTCTATTGATTTACCTGTGGAAGAGAAAGAGCTAATTTTATTTGCTGGTCACCTTTCTCATGTACACTTCCCACACTCCATCCTACCACAATAATTATGACATAATTTTTGATTAGATCAGAATTACAGTGTATTATACTATGACAACTTTTTCTTTTATGTAAAACTTCTTGGTTTCCTTAGAATTAAGAATAGTTTTTTTCTTTTTTTGTTGTTTTGTTTTGTTTACCACTAATTCATTTTCACTCTTATCTCTGGTATCTAAGTATTTTTGTTAAAACACATCAAATATTTGATCGGCCTCTTCTTGAAGAATCTTTTCTGGGTCCTTCTGACCTGCTAATGTCTGAACTGTTTTGTCTCTGGGACTTTTGTTTTGTTTTGTTTTGTTTTGTTTTTTTTTGAGATGGAGTCTCGCTCTTTCAGCGGGCTGGAGTGCAGTGGCGCAATCTCGACTCACTGCAACCCCCGCCTCCTGGGTGCAAGTGATTCTCATGCCTCAGTCTCCCAAGGTGTTGGGATTACAGGTGTAAGCCACAGTGCCCAGCCTGTTTCTGGGATTTCAATGTAGCTTTCGGTCTAATATCTCCTTCCATTGCCAAGTTGGAGATTTCCTGCATCTACTTTGATTCCTAGATCCCATGTCTTTTCATTCTCTGATTTACTTCCTTATTTTGGTAACCACTGTTTCATTACTTTTCTGAGAAAGGGTGCATGAAAGGCAAATCTTTTATGATACTACATGTCTACAAATGCTTTTTATTGATCCTTATACTTAAAGTGACAGATAGGCTGAGTAAAGAATTCTAAATTGAAGATAACCTGATATAACCAATTCTTAAGCTTGTAGGAGATACAGGGAGAAGCTGGGAAGGTGTGTTACTGTTTACTACCAGCTGAGTGTTCAAAACGCTCACATCTGACAAGTCAGGTTCACTCATTCTTCCGCTTTCTTGCCTGCAGCATTTGGTTTTTATAATATTTTCTCCTATTCCTTTGAATTTGTGGTATAAATAGTTCCCTGCTATTGTTTTGGTCAGGTTTCTGGAGTGGTAGCAGAGGAAAATGTGTTTTCCAAATATGCCATCTTATGAAAAGTTTTAAAGCCACTATTTCCCTGTCTCCTAAATTCAAGCAGTGCTGTTGAAAAGTCTACAGCCTTTCTCTTTCTCCATCTTTTTACTTAGCTTACTTTCTTCCTTTTAAATCTCAGCAATAGTTAGTTTTAGGTTTTGTTTTTATTCCAGTGTTGTGAAATTTTATGATGTTGTGCCTTATAGTATCTTTTACTTATTTTACAGGAAACGTGATGACACTGTTCATTCTAGGAACTCACATAATCATTGCTGGCAATCTTTTAAAAGTTATTTTATTTTACCTTTATGTTTATTACTTATATATGAACACTTCTGAATGATTAGTAATCTTAACTGTTTATTTTAATTTTCGTTTCTATTCTCTGACCTCCACTCATTCTTCTGCTTTCTGGAAGATATGTGCAACTATTCATCACTGTATGGTTCAATCTGCTTATTGGTGTCTGATGGGTTTGGGGGGATGTTGCCTTCCTATGTTCATTTCCGATATTCCTTGTCTTATGGTTATTCTCTTTTCATAACACTTTGTTAACTGTTCGGGGGTGTGATATTTTCCCTTATTTCAGTAAGGATATGACTGGAACTTTCTTTTTCTTTCCGAATTTCTTCTATGTCCAAGTTGTTCTTTCTATTTGTTTTGTTCTTTGCCTTTTGAATGGTATCTTCCTTAGATTTCTTATTATTTTTCTTTTAATTGCCTGTCTATTTAAAAAGATGACATAAAAAGTTTGATTTGATATTCGGTGTATGTTGGTAGATTTTACCACAGTTGAAACGACTTCGGCTTTTCACTGTGAGCTTTAAGATTTTTCTCTTGGACTGCACATTTTCTGCCCGGAGGGTATAATTCTGGCTGCCAATACTCTTAGAGCACTGCAGAAGAAGAGTATCACATCTCTGCTGTTCTGAGTATCATGTCTCAAGTGTTCCCTGTCTTTTACCCTCTTCACAGATAATATATCCACCTCCAACCTACAAACAGGGTGTAGGAGGGACGTTGCCTAGCTGATCCAAGAGGACAAGGGAATTTCTGATGCAGCTTCTTAAACAAACTTGCCTGATCTTTTTCTTTCTAGTACCAACTTTACATCCACTGCTCTAGATACCTGATGTAACCAATTCTTAAGCTTGTAGAAGATACGGGGAGAAGTGGGGAAGGTGTGTTACTCTGTTTTCTCTACTACCAGCTGAGTGTTCAAAATGCTCATATCTGACAAGTTAGGTTCACTCATTCTTCTGCTTCCTTGACTGTAGCATTTGGTTTTTATAATCTTTTCTCCCATTCCTTTGTATTTGTGATACAAATAGTCCTCTTGCTATTGTTTTGGTCAGGTTTCTAGAGTGGTAGCAGAGGAAAATATGTTTTCTAAATATGCCATCTTATGAAAATATCTTTTTTAACATATTAGTACTGTATTTTCCCCAGATGCATACATTCACTTTCTTTCCTTTATCTCCCATACATTCAGATCTTTATGTTTAGTAAGCATGGATTTACAAACCTGAGAATCCTCTGAATCTTTAAACATTCATATATAAAATAGAACTTAATTTTCAACTGCTATCTCCCCACAAACTATCCAGAACAGGTCTTACACATTTCATCCTAATGACTACTTTGGACCCAAAATAATTTTTATTGATAACAGTAATATGGTAATTCATTATGGTACACTGTTACCCAAGTGCTAATTAAAAGGAAAGATAGTTGAAGGATAAAGGAGGGCTTGAAAGCACATCGCACAAAAGTTCCTTCCTAATGTATTTCCTGTCTATTACACTTATTACTGCAGGGTGGGATGACAGGTTAATTATGTACTAGGCAGGAGAGCAGGTACAGAGGATGTTACAATCTCAAAAGCAAACACTTACAATCATTTTATCTAAATATAAGACAAACTTACCTTGATGAAGGACTGCATTTAGTGATTATGTGTAAGGCGACCTCCTTACCTATAGATTGCAGATGGCACCCAGTTAAATCGTACACAACAAAAACTAGTACATATGTGCTGACCCTGCAGCAGCTAACTGTGACTCATATGTAGGGAGTGTGGATATTTGAAAGTTTGCTGTTTTCTTTTACCATGGAGGGTTCTGCTTCCTCCATTTCCTTCTCAAGTCATAGTTTAACAGCAAATCTCCCACCTGGTATTTACAAATATATAATTGAAAAAATCCTATATTTATAGCTTATGTTTATTATGAAATAGTGACAATTTGTCATTTCACTTAGGGAAGATTCTTACCCCGTGAGGGAACCCTTTGCCAACATTCTGCTCTTGGCTCCTGTCCTCTCCTGTCCTGCTCTGGAACCCATCACCTGGTGACAAGAAGCTCATCTCCACGTGGGACAGCCCATTGAATCATCCGAGACTCCTGTTAGAAGTTCCGGTTGCTGTTTCATTTTGCTTTATGTTGAGAAAATACATCCTTGTAACTATTTTCCACTGGTAGTTGTTCTTGTTTGCTGGACTTGTGCATCAGCTCTCACTATCTTTCACAGGAACGTTTTCTCAACTTTGAATATAGTTGATTCATTAGCCTGTTCTCAGGCTGCTAATGAAGATATACCCAACACTGGGTAATTTAAAAAGGAAAGAGCTTTAATTGACTCACAGTTCAACATAGCTGGGAGGCCTCAGGAAATTTACAATCATGGCGTAAGGGGAAGCAAACACATTCTTCTTTACATGGTGGCAGCAAGGAGAAGTGTCAAGCAAAAGGGGGAAAAGCCCCTTATAAAATCATCAGATCTCATGAGAACTCACTATCATGAGAACAGCATGGAGGTAACCGCCCCCATGATTCAATTACCTCCCACTGGTTCCTCTTACAACATGTGGGGATTATGGGAACTACAGTTCAAGATGAGATTTGGGTGGGGACAGAGTCAAACCATATCTCCTGAAAGTTTTGTTTCATCTCTTGTACCCCTAGTCAATTTATTTCATTATTTCTTCTTGTCACTTTTTCCCAGAATCTTCTTTATGCCAGTTGACATTCTCTGGACAGTATGTCATGATATTCTAAATGAATAGCTATAGCAATATAATATGCCAAATGTATGACTACACAGATTAAAGTAAACCTATTAAATTTGTTATTGAGATCAGTATACTTTCCCTGGTGTATACCAACTTGCCAATAGCTTTTCACTTTATAAGTTTATAGGAAGCATAGAGTTTTCCCTGTTTCCTCAACTCACCTATTGCTCCAAATAAATAAGACTTACCTATTTCTAATCAAAATATTTTCAGATTTTAGAAAACTGTAAGCAGCATACTTCTTTGTCATATTTTCTTTTTTTTATTATACTCTAAGTGTTAGGGTACATGTGCACAACGTGCAGGTTAGTTACATATGTATACATGTGCCATGGTGGTGTGCTGCACCCATTAACTTGTCATTTAATATTAGGTATATCTCCTAATGCTTTCCCTCCCCCCTCCCCCCACCCCACAACATGCCCCCATGTGTGATGTTCCCCTTCCTGTGTCCTTGTGTTCTCATTGTTCAATTCCCACCTATAAGTGAGAACATGTGGTGTTTGGTTTTTTGTCCTTGCGATAGTTTGCCGAGAATGGTGGTTTCCAGCTTCATCCATGTCCCTGCAAAGGACATGAACTCATCCTTTTTTATGGCTGCATAGTATTCCATGGTGTATATGTGCCACATTTTCTTAATCCAGTCTATCATTGTTGGACATTTGGGTTGGTTCCAAGTCTTTGCTATTGTGAATAGTGCCGCAATAAACATACGTGTGCATGTGTCTTTATAGCAGCATGATTTATAATCCTTTGGGTATATACCCAGTAATGGGATTCAACATATGCAAATCAATAAACATAATCCAGCATATAAACAGAACCAATGACAAAAACCATATGATTATCTCAATAGATGCAGAAAAGGCCTTCGACAAAGTTCAACAACCTTCATGCTACAAACTCTCAATAAATCAGGTATTGATGGGATGTATCTCAAGTAATTTTTCAATGTATTTTCTCTTCGAATAATTTCAGTTCTTCTGAAAATGTGTATACTTTTCCAGTGTGGAGATTGCACTTGGTGTTTTATTTTAACTGACTCTTCTTCACTCTTTGGCACCCAGAATATGGTGAATGGCTAATAATACTTAATCCATTTTGATTTATCCATCAAATTAATATTTATAAACAAATTCAGTCTCAGGTACTGAGTTAAGCTCTGCTGCAGCACATATTAGTAAGCTAAGTAGGATCCCAATCTTTGGGGAAAGATAGAAATATAAACAAGTTGCTCTAACAGATGATAACTGCAGTGGAAGGTATACTATAGGTATAATGCAATGACGGTGAGGCAGAATGAGTTTCCCAACTTCTCAAGCTATTCTGAATGTGCTCTGCTTTTGGTGGCCAAAATCAAACTGTGGGACCATGGTGAATTGATGTGATGCTTTGATAACTTTTCCTGACATGCCAACTTATGAATGATAATGCCACTTTTATAAGTCTACTGGTTTGTTTATATTGTTTTATTGGTAACATCAGACACTCACCTCTGAGAAAAATAGTAATAAACTGTGAAAAAAAGCCAAGTATAAATAATTTAGATTGATTAATAATTCTATAAAAAATAGAATAATGTCATTACCTGTCAGAGAATCCTTGACCAAATCACAGTTCTTTGCCTCTTTCAAAATATGTTCACATTTGCAATTCTATTCAATCCTCATAGTAACAGCAAGGTAGGTAGAATAGAGATTTTGTCTCCAATGAGATGAGAAAACTGAGGAGATTTGGCTTTCTTGGCCAAAGTGGTACGACCAATGTGCAACAGACATGTGGTCTTCTGAATTTCAGCTTTTTCTTTTTTTCTTTATCTTTTCTTTTCTTTCTTTCTTTTTTTTTTTTTTTTTTTTTTTTGAGACGGAGTTTCGCTCTTTTGCCCAGGCTGGAGTGAAGTGGTACAATCTTGGCTCACTGCAACCTCCGCCCCCTGGGTTCAAGCGATTCTCCTGCCTCCCGAGTGGCTGGGATTATAGGCACCTGCCACCATGCCCAGCTAATTTTTGTATTTTTAGTAGAGATGGGGTTTCACCATGTTGGGCAATTTGGTCTCAAACTCCTGACCTCAGGTGATCCACCCACCTTGGCCTCCTAACGTGCTAGTATTACAGGCTTGAGCCACCATGCCCAGTCTCAGCTTTTTCATTCTACAAAAAGCTACACTGAAGGGTCAACCATTTTCCTGTCTCTCTGCCTGGTGTATATATTGGAGGAGAGAAAACTTAGATGATGCTCAAAGGGGGTCATGTGTAACTTGCAACTTTATTAGGGAATTCTCAGAACAGATCCCAAAAAGCAAAGGTATAAGAGAAGATGCTGGGCCAATCTCATTTAGACCTTTCTTGTGAAAGCTAAGCCAGTGAAACCATGTGATTGATTCTTTTTAATATGGTATTATTGTCAGGGAATAGCTTCAATATGCACCGTAAGCATTAAATGCTAAAAATAATAACAGAAATTATAGATTGTTCTGACACCAGAAGAACAGAATTATGCTTCTTAACTGCATTGCCTTTAGCCAATAAAAATGCAAAATCACTTTTCTAAAAACTGTTTTCTTCTGTGCTAGATTACCAAGAGATGGCAGCATTCCATCCATCATTCAGCAACTATGTATTCCTTGCTTGAGAAATAAGATTTCCCTTTTCCCAATGAAGTGCTGAGAACACATAATAAAATTTAAAGTATGAATCTGTTTCATAATCACCCATTGTCACACAGTCATGTGGCTGTAGATTGCCTGGATCTAAGTTTGGGTGCTGATGATACATAACTGTAAAGATTCAAATGACCCATTTTAAAATAATACATAGCATAGAGTTGGTGGTAGTGTACAAAATCCACTGAGTGATGATTTAAGAAAGAGAATGGTGATATGTGGTTCCTCCTTGGATGCACTTGAAGATTTCTATTTGCAGGTTTCCCCTTTCTGCAAGTACTTGGTAACCCAAAGCAAAATGTTCTGTGTTAACAAAGTCAGGCCACTGTGTTATCCAGTTTGATATTTTGTTTGGAGTTTGGTGTTCATCGGGCAGTGGAACATTTTAGTAAATGTAACATCACAACCCACCAGTACATTCTAGTCAATGAATGGAACCACAGACATGTCATCTTTTCTAGGGAGAGGTGGAAGGAATTCTTTATTTGGAAAGATTCAGAAATTATATAAAGTTAAATATTTCACAAGTTCATGTTTCCACTGCTCAGCTTGTCATAAAAACTTTCTGGAATTTTTTCATCATTGAGTTGTTGTTTTATGACAGAGGCCAATGAAAAAAAATAATTTTGATACATTTATTACTTAAAAAGTGAACACATTTAAAGCAATGGGTATATTGACAGTCTCCCTTTTTTTTTTTAAGTAACTATATAGTTTTACTAGTTTTCAATTGTCAAACATCACAGATTTGTTATAGAATTCACTTCTCAACCAATGACCTCTGTGAAATACCTTAAACACAGTTTTGGAATGTGTAGATTCTCTAATATGTCTCATTGCTTTCTGCATTATTGGAGGCCATTGCAGCCTCACTTGATGAGACAATCATGAATCTGAATAGTATCTGCGTTATCTTCATGTCACCCAAAGGATGACTCATTCATCCCAGAGAGTTGAACAGAGGTACAAAAAGTCACACAGCAAGTTAGTAGCAGACACAGCCATGGCTAAACTCTCGTGGTCTGACTGCCAAACCAGTGTGTTTGCTACTGAATCATAATATGTAAACAATGTTCAGAAAATGACACCTTTGGTTTTTAAGGTGAGCCAGTAACAGTCCCTTTCAGGCATTCTTAGTTACCAGCATTGGAGGTATTTGAGCCATTATTTAAAAAAATATATATTTTGAGCCAAGGAAGGAGCAGTAGGAACTGATCTCTGCAGGCAAGGGAAGATGCTGGTGAGTTCTGGGCACACATGGAAAGGCATAGGTCCTCCCTCTATCAGAGACTGGAGGTTGAGCTGTGTGTCCAGAGGCAGGAACTTTTATCTATTGCATAAGACCCCTGTGCTCCTGTGTCTATTCACTTCTAAGAGAGAAGATCCACCAAGTAGGACCTCAGAGGGATCTCCAATTGTTTTCTGCAGATTGGGCATTTTGCCTAAGTCTAACTGAGAGGTTTGAAAGGATGAATACATTTTTCCCCATTGGAGAGCCAAAGCTCTTACTGCTCCTTCCTTTGCTCAAAATAATATTCTTTCAAATAACGGCTCAACTACCTCCAAAGTTACACACAGATCAAGGCCTAGGTACAGACTTGCTGAAAGTGTTACAGTTACTGCTGCAGCCAGAGACTGGGAGGCCTTGAAGGATGGCTCCTCTCTGGCTGATAATCAAATGAACTAAATCTCCCCTTCAGCTTCTTCCTTCAGGGCAACAATGCCCCAGGTGGCAGAGTCCCAGAGATGTGGGGTTTTTATTGACGAGGCACAGTCTTATCTCTTTGGTTTCCATGGATGTCCCTTTAAAGTGGATCCAGGGCCCTGGAATAAGCAGAAAAATCTTGAACAAGGAAATGTCTCAATGACTTCTCCAAGGCTCTTTTTCCTACACATAAGAAAGCCTTCATGGGGTCTGATTATCCAAAGGCCTGCATAAGAGGGCCAAGTTCTCCTTCTCTCAAGGTCCAAATTAGAAAGAAAAAAAATAGGAGAAATTATTGATAATAATGACAGTCTTTTGTTATGGGTCAGATATGATTCTGAGTGCTTTTCATATGTTAATATTTATTTTCTACACTCATCCTATGCAACTGCTACCATTATTACCTCCATTTTGCAGAGGAAACTGAGTCTCAGAGAGGTTAAACAACTTCTTGAGGTCACACAGGTAGTAGGCGCTGAGACTGGAATTTGATCCCAGGGAGACTGACTCCAGCTGTTTACTCTTAACTATACCTTACTGTCTCTGTGCCTATTTTCACCCCATCATGGTTAGTATTTTCTTTTTCTCTTTAGAAAGTCAAACCATAGCTAGTTGTGGTGTGACCTGTCTATTTTTATCTGTATTTCCAGAGAACACAGAGGCAATCAGGGTGGGAGACTTGAAAGCAAGAATGTTTATTCCTGGCTGGGAAATATACAGTTTCCCTGATATGACCATAGATGGTGCTCAACCCTGAGGACAGCGGCCTCCTGGTTATAGGGTTCCTTCAGATGGCTCCAGTTAATCTGCTGAGCGTATAAAGATGGTGCAGATCAGACCCAGGCACTGATGTGGAAAGGTGATCCGCCATGCCTTGCCCTCGAATGAGACAGATCTCATAGGCGTTAATTTTTCAACAAGCCCCAGAGTCATTTTGGGCAGATTTTACCTGCTTGTGTCCATCAGGTTTATCTCTCTTTCCTCTACTGCTGGAAACAGAAACATGACTTTGATTTACACTTCTCACAGAAAGCAAACTTTTCAGCCATTGGTTTCCAAAGTGCTTCCTATGGAAAAAAGGGAGGAAAAAAGCAGCCTAGTGGAACTTTTCTTCCAAAGACTTTTCTCCACCTCTCACCTTGTTGAATAGATAAATTTAGATGGCAATACATCTCTAGCTTCTGCTTTAACCTCTGGAGCTGCTCACCACTTCCCAGCTTCCATAGTTTCGAGCCATCCTCCATTTCAAGGTCTCTACTTGTCAATTTTCTCCATAGAATTGAGTTCTCTGAATACTTGTTCATAAATCCTTTAATTGAAGAAGATTGCTGTGGTGAATTTTACATTCTCTCTATTTCATCTGTTGATCTTGTTTGGAGAGCCTCAGAAAGAACCAGTGCCCCCTGACCTTTCATTTAGCAACACAATTTATCCTAAAATAGGTAAAACAATTTGCAAGAGAAAACTTTCCTACTGTTCTAAGCTTCCAAAGAATAGGAAACAATTTATAGTAGATGTTTGATAAAAGTCTTAGGAATCCCTCAATTACTGAATGTGGGTGAAACAATAGAAAATAATGAATTTGTAGGAGTAAAGAGCAGAGGCCTCAGACCTGGACAAGAGTCAGGATGATTAAAGGCATTGGGGCAAATGGCCAGGCCATAAATACACTGCCTACCTTCCTTATTTCTGAGTCTTTGGATTCAGGGTAGCTTTCACTCATGTTCCTTGCTATACATTGATGTACAGATAAAATTCAACATTTAAGTCAATCAAGTTTATTTCTAAGATCTATTTACTTTCTTGGTCATTATAGGGGTTTGGTTGTAAGTTTTACTATCTCTTAGTAGCAATATCCACTGGCTAGAGGAATGTATCCATTGTTAGTTTCCATTATCTTGTAGGTGACTGTATTTACCCCTTCCTGAAAGAAGATGATGACAGGACCTCTATTAGACCATATGCTTCATTATAATAAAAGAGTTGTATCATTTATTGACTCAGTTGTAAACCAAGAACTATACTAAGAATTGTAACCATATTATCTCATTTAAACTGAAAAATAACCCTATTAGGCATTTTTAGTTATCCTCATTTTACAGGTGAAAAACCAAAGGTTTAGCAAGATGAAGAAATTTGCCTAAAGTCACATTGCTAGTAAATGGTAGAGCAAAGATTGAATCCGAGATGTCTGACTATGAAAGCTGCAGTAGAAACAATTAGCCTCTTTCAGTGTCTCCTTAGGGCTTTAATTTTGTCTCTTAGTGTTGGCCCTTGTGTCTTATCCTTTATATCCTTGGAGCCTGAAACATAGAAGGTGCATGGGAGACAATGATGTTGACAGATTAGATTTGATGGCTCTTTTCTGATTTACCTGATGTGTAGTTATGAACAAAGTAGGTTTTAGAATACATTCTGCTCTTTTAACTCTGATCACCAAGATCTCATACCACATTTGTGCCTCTCTATATTTTTTTTTGTGTGTAAACTATAAACTCCCTAGGAGTAGGAATTATTTTTGCTTCATTTCTCAACTAAGTTCTTTGAATAGGGATAATCTTTTATTCCTATTTATCTATTATATATATATACACACACACACATATATAAAATATAATAATATGTATTATTTATGTGTATATATACAAATAACATTATAGTGCAATATATTATATATATTATACATATGTTACTGATTTAATGGTGACATTGACCCAATAGAAACATCAAAACAATGGAAACATCAAAAAAGACGACATCAACATGGAGAATGAGGCATGCCTTGCACTGTCACAAAAAGTCACCTGAGGCCGACCTGCTCAGCTAGAAGGAGTGATCCGCCTTATGCTTCCATTTTGCCTGTACTTTGCCTCTCCCAGTACCCAGTACCTTTCTCAGTGTATTCTACAGTAATTGTTCCTATTCCATTTTCTGTATTTCTCGCTGGACCATGATCTCCAGAAAGGCAAGTACTGTAGAACCCAGCTCCTGATTGCTCATTCCACATTTGAGGAATGATTGAATGTACTTATCTGTGGTTATCTACAACTTCAGATGCCAAGTACTCTGCATGAGTTATTTGGACTGGATGAACTGAAGCACAATCCTGAGGCTCATTGATGGCAAACATGAGGAAGATTTTTGGAAATAGATAACGATATGCTAAGTGGTATTCTCAGTAACAACAACAAAACAGAATGAACTTAGTCCTGTGTGGAAGAGATCGAATGCTCATTCTTCTAATCAATTCTTAGAAGCAGCAATTAGAAAGCAAACCAAAAATCATGCCTATAATGACGACATAGAAATTATCCAAAGGCACATAAACATGATGAAGACACAGTGTGTGAGTGAGTTTTGAGGCCCCAAGTGAAGGTCACCATCACCAGAGGTAAAAGATGTAAACCGGGTTTCACAGAGACTAACAGCCGAGTCATTTACTTGATTCCTGGAATACAGCAATTCAGAGAAAAGCTGGAGGATGCTCTTTTGTTTTCAAGGTAACAGTAGATAAAGGGTTTAATAGGGCTTTCTCTGTCTATACGCAATCTAGTCAGGCTGCGAGTGGCTTTTCTCCTGTAACACAGATCCCTGCAGAAACTGACTGCTGGCTTAGAAATGGCAGCACCAGAAAAAAAAGCTGCTGGAGGCTGAATAATTATTTCATGTCTGATCCCTAGGTCTAATACCTCGTGAGTGAAGCAAACCCTTTAGTAAAACAAATACCCACATTACACCTATAGGAGCAAAGAGACAAACAAGAAGAGGCAGCCAATTCTGTTGCTGAGGCAGGCGCCAGTGAGGATTGCCAGAGGGCATCTGCATGGCTAGCAACAAAGCCTGTCTCCGTCTGCGAAATGGGGTGCACTGCTAGCTGCCTGAGCTGGCTCCTGCAAGGACACCACTGTAGGGGATATTAGGACAGCTCTGGCTCGAGCATAGACGTGATGTTTGCTAAATTGATTTCCATTTTTACTAACTGAAAACTAGTCGCTAAAGGGAGAGTGATTTCCGGGTGCCATATGGGGACATGGATATTTTCTAATTTAGTGGCTTGAATATTACGTGTTCATCTTTGTATTAAGACATTTTATTATAATTATATATACTGCCCCTGGCTGAAACAAACAGAGCTATTTGTTGAAAGGTTAAACGAGGAGAGTTGATGACTTCGCTCATGCTTGGGGAATCAAAAGAGATATGACACCCGCATTATGTCAATTATGTTCCAGGAAGCACAGCATGTCAGGAAGGAGCAAGGTCTGCAGTGTTGATCAAAGGAGAGTGATAAACTCAGATCTCATTTACAACCTTAGCATCGTGTCCTGACAGAGCTGGAAAGATCTTCAACATCATTTAGTCAAAACCTTTCATTTTAGAAATCGAGGGCCCGGAAAAGGGAAATGACTATCCCAAGATCACACATCCATAGGCAGATTCAAGAATATTCCAGGTTTTTGAAACCTAGTCTTGTGAGCTCTCCACTTAATCCCATTACTTTGCCTCTTCCCTCCAGGTAGCTGTGGTTCGTTTGTTGGATGTGACAGTGATTACAGTGATTGAAAAAACTTTGTTTCTTTTCTAAAACACATATTTTAGAAAAGCTTTCAAAAATAGAAAATATGCATATATATGTATATATATAATTTTCAAGAAAAAAGAACAGAGTCAATACCCTACTACTTAGGAGGATGTGGTTGATACAGCATTTGTGTAGTTCAAGCAATCAAAAATGTTTCACCTGCACTACAGCTGAGTTTCCAAAAGTCATTTAGCCCTTGTTACGATCTGAATGTTTGCGTCTCCCCAAAATTCATGTGTTGAAATGCAATCTCCAGCATAATGCTGGGAGGTGGGTCCTGTGGAAGATGATTAGATCATGAGTGACTTTTCCCTTATGAATAGAATGAATGCTCTTATAAAAGAAGCCTAAGGGACTTTGTTTGCCCCTTCCACCATGTGAGGACACAGCTAGAAGGCACCATCTTTGAAGCAGAGAGTGAGCCTGAAGTATTTTGTTATAGATACTTCTTGTCTTGTTCTCTGAACTTCTGAGAAGCAGAAGCTATTTTAAAGCCAACTTCTTAATATCAATGTATCTATTCAGGTTAAATTATTACAGATATATACGAAACTCTCTCCCTTCTCCCTCTCTCTCTCACACACACATGCACACGCGCATGCCACCAAATTAAATATGAGGTGTTATTCGACAATTGCTAAATAACGAATTCACTAAATACTACAGAATTTAAGCAAGTGGATACGTTTCTTACCCTTGGAAAGATTTCTTAGAGTTGGTGGGACTTGAATTGGATGTTGAAAGATGAGAAAATTTCGACAATAAAAGAAGAAAGAAGGAACCATTTCAAGGGAGAGAACAAGATGTGGGACTGAGCGTGATATAGGAGTGACAGGGTGGTGCTGGGGTTATGAAAAGTGATTGGGGTTGGTTGCACTGGCCTCAGAGGCACATACACAGGCAGAAATGAAGTATGTTTTCAGGGAAGCTCAGTAGGTTACAATTATAGAGAAGACGTACTAAGATAACACACTCAAAAATTGAAACTCAATACTATGTGTAGGTACATTGAGGTGATGCGTACGATTAGTTGTTTTCAAGAATTAAACTAAACTAGATTTTATGTAAAATACAATAATTCTCTTTCATTAGTGACTTAGAGAGGGAGCTCTCTCTTCCTCAACTCCCACATCCATCTGGCCCCAACCTTATTCCCTGCCAATCTAAGTCAAATTTAAAGTAAGGAACAAAAAAATCTGTAATTGAAGTTGTCTATTTTTGCTAGTTATGTCTATCTCCTCAATGCTGCTTATGATTAAATCAGATGTCCCAATAACTGCTAATGGTAACGATTTAAATGAAAACTTTTTAGTTTTATTCAACATATAATTGGCAAATACTTACTATTAAGTCTTAACGTGTGCCTGAAATTGGGCTGGTGTCCGAGACTTGGAGAACAATAACAAAATAAGCTCTCAGTTCTCAAGCAGCTTGAAATCAACTAGGGGAACTTAATGCTGGAAAATATTCCAGATGTGCTTTCAGAGATCTGTTCAGTGAAACTTGGCACATAGGAATCATTTAATACACGTTTGGTGAATTGACAACCCCTCATCTTGTGCCCTAGATCCCATTCCTTCTCACCTTTTCGAGGACTTTGACTTTTCCGCTCCCCAACATACGTGATGTTCCCTCTTCAATAGGGTCATTCCCATTAGTAGGTAAACACGGTATCATCATTCCTATCTGAAAAATAAAATATAGTCAGCAAAAACCTCTTTTGACCCCACATCCCCCTCCAACTCTTGTCACTCCCCCTACTCCCTGCCCCTTTTATACTCATGTCTGCTTTTTCAGTGAGCATCCTCACATGAGTTTATTCCAACGAGGCTCCTTCATCCAGTCCACATTACTTTATCGACACCACAGTTAGAAGGAGCACTGGTGATCGCTTTGCCGCCAGTCCAAGTTACTTCTCTCTTCGTATTTTACTTTATCCCTCAATAACATTAGCAAACAAACTCCTGTCTTCTCGGAGCTGGGTTTTTCTCTTGGCATCATGGCACTAGACACGCCTGGTTTTCCTCTTCATTCTTCAATGCCGGCTTCTCCCACTGCTCGATCTGTCTTATCTCCTGCTTTTCTCTCTCTTTGCATTATCCCTAGGTGATATAACTGACATCCTGGTTTTAATTACTATCTCTATGCCAGTGACCCTCAAACTGTATCTCTAGTTCTTATTATTCCCCAACAATCCAAGTGTGAATATCCTTCCAGGTGAGTGTCATGTGGGTGTTTCAACTTTAACAAGGCAGGTATAATTTTCTCAATTTCCCAGCCCAGCTTTGCTCCTACATCAATTCTCTACATCTCTCTTTTTGGCGTTACCATATACCTAGTTTCCCAAGCCAAAGCTCAAAATTTTTACTTGGTTCTTCGTTTCTCCTCAATTCTTACATCCAATTCATGAGTAAAAACTATAGATTCTACCTATAGTCAGGCCTAACATTATTAAGTTTTCTTCCTTTTATATAACCCCTAGCAAAACCACTGCCACTTCTAACTGAGTCTAATGCAATAGCTGATTTTCCTATTTCTCTTTTTACCTATTTACAAAGTGTTCCATAACATACTCAGAATTATCCTTTACATATGTAAATCAGACCATATTCATTTCCTACATAAGACCCACTAATGGCTTCCCAACACACCTAAAATTAAAATTCCTTTCTCTGCCTTATAAAGCCTAAGATGATTGGTTCCTAGTTACTATTCCAGCTGCTTCTTATACTCACTCTGTGGTATGCAAGAAAATACTCAAAAACAGGCTCTCTGAATGGGAGTTGAGGGTTGGGGACAAAGAGGGAGTCCTGATTCACAGTGTTTGCCGATTTCTCAGGTATGAATATTCCTACCATAGTCAATTATAAGCTACCAACGTTATATGAATTGCCTTACAAAATCCCTGAAAATGCAACAATTGTCTCTCACTAGGAATAAAAACCAGCCAGCACCTGGTGTAAACCTTCATCACAATGCTCTAGCCACCCTGATCTTCATTTATTTCCTCAAAAACATCATTCAAGTACCTGTTTTAGCCCATGGATCCCATTTTTCCCTCTGCCTGAAATCCTCTTCCTCTTGATTATAATACAGAACAAGAACCATTCTTGCTATTTGGGTCTTATCTAAGTGTAGAGATTCCTCATTGAGGTCATCTTCGACCATCCCATATAGTTACCATTTAGTCATTCTCTAGTACATGCTCCAACAGTAACTCTCTCCATAAGACCCGAAGCTGTCTGGCTTTCACCTAATGTGTATATTTATTTATATTCTGTTTGCCTCACTATAATTTAATCTCCATGATTGCAGGGTCCTTGTTGATCATGTTCACAGCTGTATCCCCAGTGCCGAGAGCAGTGCCTAACACACACCAGATGCTCAATTTGAAAAACATTTCTAGCACAATTGATCTCTGCTTGCTTACATGGTCTTTCTAATAACCATAAAGTCAATTTTCCCAAACACAACTTGCCTTCCTCCTGGTCTGCCATTTTGAACTCCCACATTTCCTAGCCTGCAATGCTGTACCTGTCTCTCTGCTCTTCAAATGTTAAAATCTCTTTACCCTAAAAGGCTACAGTCATGTCTTTTTGTTAAAATAAATTTTTTATGGTCATTCCAGGCCATGGATTCCTTCACCTTTGAAGGCCAGCAGTACATTTTAACTGCATAGGTGTCTGGTAATTAATTGCTAATGTACTGCCCAGTGACACCCTCAGTTACTCTCTTCTCTTGTGATTTATTACTTTTATTTTCATTTAATGTATTCAATGCCCATATCATCTTTCTGCCATTTGACTCTGAGCTTCTGTAGGTCCACTCCAGGTGTGTACTTCCGTCCATGTCCACTAAGATTCTTGGAGCCATTACATGAACACAGTGCATGTTTAGTAAGTGTCCATGAGTTGGATTTGCTTTATGGATCTCCTTTTATTTTCCTTTATAGGAGCATGCTCCATTCTTCTTTACTTTGGTTTGTGTCCTGGGAAACTGACATGTATGCACTTCATTAAAGAGCTCTCATCCTTTCTGGCTGTGATGAGGTTGAGCCAAGGGAGAGCAGGAGTTCAGGATCTGGTGGGAGAAAGGAGAGTGAGGTCAGAGTATGCATTTCTCCCGGCCCTTCCCCTCCCTGCAGGGTTATAGTGAGTTTGCTTTACCTTTTGTTGTAAAGCATCAACTTTCATCAGGTAATGTATCTACCTAGCGCTCTCTCTCTCTCTGGCTCCAGGGGCCACTTCCTCTTCTCAATCCTTCAAGTCTAAGGGTGGTTACTAGACCTGTGGTATGTCACCATTCCTTGGAATTTCTGTACACATTGCTCATACCTTTATAAGTAGTCTCTTTATTGAACTCTTCTCAACTTACCCAATTCGAGGGTGTCTCCTGTTTCCTGCTAAATCCCACAATAATTTCTCCCCTTTACACAGAAGCTGACCCATTCTTTAGTACATAGCTTGGGTCCTACCTCTGCTTGAAGCTTTCTCTATTTACTTCTGATAGAAATGAGGCTCAACACATTTTAGCTCAATTGTATTTGGCCAAGTTATGTTTTTATAAATTCCAGTCCCCTTGTCTGTGACAAGGAAATTCCTGCCTCTAATAGGAATTACATTTCTTGAAAACAGAGATGTGAATATACACCCCAAAATCTCTTTTCTCTAGCTTCATCACCATTATCCCATGATGAGCTACCATCATCTCTCACCTGGCTTGTGCCCATTCCAGAGGCCTTTCTAATTAATTGAGCTGCATCTTTTCTGGATCTTCTCACATCTGTCTATGTTCCATGGTCAGTGTGTTAGTCCATTCTTGCATTCATATAAAGAAATAGCTGGGAGTGGGTAATTTATAAAGAGGTTTAATTGACTCACAGTTCTGCAGGCTGTACAGGAAGCATAGCAGCATCTGCTTCTGGGGAGGCCTCAAGAGGCTTCCAATCATTGTGGAAGAGGAAGAGGGATCAGTGACATCACATGACAAGAGCAGAAGCAAGAGAGAGAGGCGGGGAAGGTGCTATACACTTTTAAATGACTAGATCTCATGAGAACTCACTCGCTATTGCAAGGGAATGGTGCTAAACTATTCATGAGAAATCCGCCCCCATGATCCAATCACCTCTCACCAGGCCCCACCTCCAACATTGTGGATTACATATCAGCACGAGATTTGTATGGGACATTCAAACCACCTTAGTCAGGGTGATGCCTAAAACATTCAAATCTGATCATACTTCACCACTCATATCCCAGACACACATGCACAGAGACATTCCATGCATGTCCATTAACAGCCCTTCCACACTCTGAAGAAAACAAAATGCCTGAACTTGATTCACAAGGTGTCTCATACTCTGGTCATCACCTAATTCACCAGCTCCCTCTCACACTATAGCTCTTGGCTCTTTCCAGTTCAGTGACACTGGCTTTCTTTCAATGTCCCAGATGCCCCATATCCCCTCCTTTCATGGAGCATCTGATATGCAGCCTCCACTCCCTGGAATGTTCTTTCTTCCTCTCTTCCTCAGTTAACTTGTTCTTATCTCCAGATCTCATCTTAAGTGTCATTTTTCTCCAGGAAGTATTCCTGACTTTTATAACTAGGTCATATTTCCTTATTTCCAAGTTTCTTCTCCTCATAGCAATCATCACAGTTGCAGCTTTGCATTTGTTTGAGTGATTACTGATTTGTCTGTATCTTCCACCAGCTCACAAACTTCACAAACACAGAGTCCAGGTTTGCTCACTCTTGGCCAACAGTGCTGAGTAGTACTGGGCACTCAATAAATATTTGCTGGACAAACATACGATTCTGACCCAGTGGTAATGGATGCCTCATATCTACTGAATTTCTTCACAATTACATTTGTTATTCTTCTGAAAAGTATTTCTATTTTAATCAGATAAGTAGACAAATCACCATGACAAAAAAGAGTAAGTTATTATAAAAGTACGTAAATATTTGGGGTTCCTTATAAAGCAGTGGTAAATGCAGATAAGTAAAAGAGAAAATCCAGAGATAAGTACTGTTAATATATTGGTGTATGTTATTCAAGAATATATTTCTATGTTATTCAGGAGTCCTTTGTATATAAGCAACAGTAAGTGAACTAACAGAGGTTAGATAAGAAGTGAATTTATTGGCAGGACATCTAGTAAGGTCACATAATCAAAGGAGAAGCTGATATTTGAATTACAGGAAGTCCGGGAGAGTAATTGGAATCCAAGTTTGAAACTCCATTAGCAGTCTTGCTTTCTGCATCTCTGACTATCCTTTCTCTCTGGGTGCCAACATTATTATTTCTTTCTGTAGTACAGCTTCATCCATGTGGGGTAATTTTGATTCTGGAGTAGAAAATACTTTTCCATTTCCAATTTGAAAATAATTATGAATCTGGGAAAAAAATATTGTTGGTCTTATTAACTTGATTTTGATCCTGAAAAAGAGTGTCGGCACCATATAAGAATATGGTTGGATGGGCCGGGCGCAGTGGCTCACGCCTGTAATCCCAGCACTTTGGGTGGCCGAGATGGGCGGATCACGAGGTCAGGAGATCGAGACCAGCCTGGCTAACACAGTGAAACCCCGTCTCTACTAAAAATACAAAAAATTAGCCGGGCGTGGTGGCGGGCGCCTGTAGTCCCAGCTGCTCGGGAGGCTGAGGCAGGAGAATGGCATGAACCCGGGAGGCAGAGCTTGCAGTGAGCCGAGATCGCGCTACTGCAGTCCAGCCTGGGCGACAGAGCAAGACTCTGTCTCAAAAAAAAAAAAAAAAAAAAAAAAGACTATGGTTGGACCTGGGGGAGAAACAATTACAAAAATAATACAAGTTTGAGGAAGGTTGGTAAGAGGTATCCATCACAATATGTGTGCAGTGTGTATGTGTGTGCATGCATGTGTGTGTATGTGTGTGTGCTAGGCACATTGTTTCCTAGCCTCTTACCTCATGCAATGATATATCATGACCATCTTTAAAAGAATGGCGCTGAAACTGTAGCATTTCTGTCATCCTGACATGCTTGACAAAAGCAGAGCTTGGCCTGTGCTTGGCAGGAGAAAGCAGTTTTGCTCGGCCTTTTCATTCTTTCAGTGGAAGCACCACTGAGAAATGAAAAGTAGAGGAGAGGAAACCACAGGGCAAAGGAGGAGGCCTAGAGAGAGACTGAGCAAAAAGATCCTGGATTTAGGCCACAAGGAGGAAAAGTCATTCAAAGAAAAGGCAAGCAGACCAAATGAGCTCATTTCTGAGAGAGGAAATGGGAGTTAATGAATAAAGATAGAACTAGAAATCTAAGGAGATAATTGGCCTTACTAGATATAGGGTCTCTTGCCAGAACAGTACATCCTCAAAATGCTAATTCAGAGCCCCAGAAGATTGGAATAGCATTAGATCAGAACAGACTCATCAGACCTATTTGCAGGAAAGTCAGGAGGGCTTGGAGAACAGGGATATAAGTCGGCATCTGAAGCAGGAGAAGGAAGATATATGTCACTCATTTTCCCTGGCCTGGCCTCTTCCTGAAATCTCTTGGGCTTGGCTGCTCCCCTCCCTTGCTCTGCACACAGGTGGAGGTGGAAGATGAGGCCCCTCCCAGTGGTATCTACTGAAGATGTGTCCTTCCATCCTGAGGCGGCTGTGCTCCCAGAGCTGTGCGTCACAAAGTTTTCCAGGAGTTCTGAGGGTGTGTGCTCAGCTGTCTGTCCCAATCGCCCAGAGATGTTTCCTGTCCCAGGGGCCTGCAAAGCCAACTCTTTGGATTTGGCCAATGCCAGCCACCTACTGAGCCCTGTTAGCATTATTTAAATATCATTTCACATTTTATATTCTCATGGCGGGTAACATGATCTCAAATTCGTGCAGCATCTGCTCTTTCCTTATCCATCTACTCTGGAGATAATTTTTAAGAGATTTTTTTTTCTAATGACTCCAAATTTAAAGCTTTTTTAATGTGGAAGTTTGGGAGACTTTGAAAAGTCATGCTCAGCAAAAAAAAAAAAAAAAAAAAAAAAGTAATTTATACTCTCTCTAGTTAATAATCTCTTATGTGCTTTAATAATTTAAACCAATTATCAATGGGAAAGTCTATAGTGTATACTTCAATGATTGCTTTTCGTATATTTCCTTCTTTCTTTCATGCCGCATGCCACTTGTCCTCAATGTGTCTCCAGTGCCTATTATCGTTGTTACACACATAAAATAACTGCCTCAGCTAGGGGAACATGACCTTGACACTGAGAAGAGCAGTCCTTTAAAGGATAGCTCAATTAAAACCTAAGGCTTCCGCTCCTGATTGGATTTCATTACTATTCATAAGACCGTGTGGTGCTGAGCCACGTGTTCAAGGGGTCCTCAAGGCTGGTTTCAGATAAGGTGCATTAAAGTTATCAGTGGGATGCCTGCCTGGAGCCTGCTGATGCTGAGTCACCACAAAGCTCATTAGCCTGACTTGGCTCACGGAGGTTTTCTGCCTCCAAATGAACATACGTAGCTCTCTCTTAGATGGGGAACACCTTGAGGGAGGCTGTGCAATGGACTAGTTAGGAGCATGGGTTATTATGTTCACACTGATCTACGTCTGAATTGCAGGTCTGAAATGTAAAAGCTCGTGGTCTTGAACAATTTATTTAAATTCTCTGAACTCAATTTACTCATCTATAAAATAAGAAGAATCATATGTTCCTTGTAAAATTGAGGCAGTGCCTATAAAATGCTTAGCAGAGTTTCCAGAATACAGTAAGCTCTGAAACTATTAATAATACAAGGAAATGGCTTCCTTTTCTTTATATATACCCAGTGTTCATCATGACCATTCACTGCTGAGATAAGACTTGGATAGTGAAAACCCAGCTAACATAAGGTGGGGTGATGGGGGAAAATGCCATAGTCAGTGATTCATTGTTTAGGAAAATAAGAGAAATGCAAACAGGAACAGCGGGGGAGGCTTTCTTGCAGAAATGGAATGTGAAGTGAATTGCAGAGGTGGGCTATGGACATGGAAACTCTTCAAACAAGCAGGAGTAATGATTTGTGCCAAGTCAAGAGAAAGTACTTCATGAGTGAAGCATGTTTAATTCAAAGGTTAAGAGATCTGAACTGTTCAGGAGGCCAGAGAGAGGATCATCAGTAGAAACCGCCTATAAATTATCTGAAGGCTGCAGAAAGGAGGCCCAATCTGAATTATATGCCAAGTTCCAAGTAGTAACCCTAATACTTTAAAGGCAAGTCTTGATGATTTTTATTCCCCCATACAAATGGCTCTCCTGCTTCATCAAGAATACGTAAAATGAACATGCAATGCAAGGACATATTATAGAATGACATGGGAGCCTTGTCATAGGGGCGAGGTGTGAGTGAGGGAGAGGACTTAGAAGAGTATCGAAAACCTGCCACTTTGGGTAGGTTATGCTGAGTGTCATTCCTTCTAACTATACCTTGAAAATATCAACTCTGCAATATTCTAGTGATTCTAGGGCAGGATTTCTCAACTTCAGCACAATTGACATTTTGGGCCAAATAATTCTTGGTAATGGAGGGGTGTCTTGTGTATTGTAGGAGCCATCTGTGGCTTCACCTGCTGGATATTAGTAGCAACTTCACAATAGCGCCAACTGAAAATGTCTCCAAATATTGCCAAATATTTTTTGAGTGAGGAGCAAAATCACCTGAGTTGACAACCACTTCTCTACAGAAGTGATACTTCTCTGTGGAGACAGGTATACCTAGAAAACTCAGTAAGTAGTGTCTGAAATCTCTGATCCGGACTCTAGTTTATGCTGAGGGTTAGCTCTGGCATTTGTGAGTCTAGTTGCTATTGGTCTGTTGGCAAGTGGGCAGGTACCATGATGTGACATCATTTGCTTTGGTCTGACACAATCAAGGCAGGTTAAACTTTCAGATGGAAAAATAATCTCCAAATTTAATTAATGCTTCTTGGCAAAGAGCAGCAAGATTGGCTTATCTGTACTATCCTACACCAGGGCCAGGCATGTTTTCAGCATGGTTGTGCTGGTTTCATGACATCACAGCTTTGACATGCATTACTGGATCTTGTGAACTTCTGCTCCTTTCAGACTATGTGTAACTCAGAGACAACTCTGTGTCAACACAGAGACTATCATATGTGGAATAGAGTGGGGACCGAAAGGAAGACTTTTTTTTTTTGGACAGAGTTTTGCTCTTGAGGCCCAGGCTGAAGTGCAGTGGCATGATCTCGGCTCACTGCAGCCTCCACCTCCTGGGTTCAAGCAATTCACCTGCCTCAGCCTTCTGAGTATTTGGGATTACAGGTGCCTGCCACCTCGCCCAGCTAATTTTTGTATTTTTTAGTAGAGACAGGGTTTCACCATGTTGTCTAGGCTGGTCTCAAACTCCTAACTTCAGGTGATCCACCTGCCTCAGCCTCCCAAAATGCTAGGATTGCAGGTGTGAGCCACCATGCCCGGCTGGCATTTTAACAGCACTGGCTTTAGGTAGTGTTGAGGAAGATTAAATATAAACCTCATACAATTGTTCTAACTGATCCACATTTAGTGCGGCTATTTGAAACCACGATTCTGGCATTTTCTTACAATATCCAGGTTCAGGATATGCACATAGAGGCGAACACATGCCTCCTAAAATGCTTTTATAAAGAGTGGAACAAAGTTCTAAAATCTTAATCACTCGCTAATCACAAATTGTGTCATCCCTCCTATTTGTATCAAACTCTTCTGCAATTGTTATTCTTGCCCGAAAGCATAGGTCAGCATTGCTGACCCTCAACAGGGTCAGGGTCAGCTCCATAACTCGGATGAAGTGTGACTGCCTGGGAGCCCACTGACAGCAGCACCAGCTACCAGCTCTCAGGATGCCCATTCGTCTGGATCATAACTAGAAGACCAGGCACAAAAACAGAGAGGCAGACAAGCCTTCCTTTTATGGGGCTGGGATTATCCATTGTGGATTGCTCTCTTTCTCTTAACTTATGTTTTTATTTCTCTGTTTTAGTAAGCTGTTTTCCCAATATTTCCAACACGCTAGTCTACATTTGTCTTTCTTCTTAAGTTTAGTATCTTAGCCAATGAGCCAAAATTATATTCAAGACTAAATGTCAAGCCCTACAAAGACTACAGGTGAAGTAAAACTTCTATAGTTCAGTGTACATTCTGCTTTAGCCTTATCATTTTCTGATATTCTAAGTTCTTTGAATTAATTTTCCTCCCTTTGGTTGCCAAACCAGATGAGATCCTTGAGACAAGAGCTGAAACCCTAAAAGACACAATTTCGTGAGTTACTTAGATCTGGAGAGGGCAACTTCAGAGTGACGAAATAGTACAATGAAATACTATAAAGGGTTCCAGTGTTCACATCAAGTGCAAGTTTCCAAGTACCAAATACGTTGCTCTTGAACTCTGAACTCACAAAGACTGGAGGATGGTTGACACTACATGACCTCATTTTTAGCTTTCAATATTGATTTTTAAAATTTCTTACTATGGAAGAGATAGCCCATCTGTCCTTTAAGAAATTAATGGCTTTAATGCCATGAGTTTTAATGTAAAGTTTTCAATTACCATTGCTGTTATTTGGCACACATAGAATAAAAAACATAAGTCCTTTCTTCTGACTGATTGCTCCATAGGACCTACTTCTGTCTTTTGCTATTTAATATGGACAGCTGCAGAGCCTAAGTGACAACTGCCAACACAGAGGAGAAAGAAAAGGGTGGTAGTCATAAAAATTGTTAAGCTGACCAAGAACAAAAGCCCATTATAAGTGATAGAACATTATCTGAAAGAGGGTCTGAGTACTCCTCACATTGCATATATGATCAGATCTCTCTCCCACCTGAGCAAAGCAGTTTCACTTGCTTACTACTGTTTTCTTACATGTCAACATTGATTTATTGACAGATGGAGGACACACAAGCACCATGATGCTGTGAAGTTTGCTGTAAGAATAAAAAAACATTCCCAGCCTCGCAGACGACGCTTGTTACTAATCACCACATTGCTGGTCATCAGATCCAGGGGAGAGGGTAACTAGTGGGCAGTGTTAAGCCATTTGGCTCAAGAGTTCAAAGGATGAAAAATCACAGCTGCTTCCCTTATAAGCCATAAGGGCCAGATCGCTACAAAATGCAACTTATGAGAGTTAAGGGAGGACTAAAATGAACACGGAAAATTGGAGCTGCCTTAATTTGCTGAGCCAGCATATGCTACAGAATAAATAAACTGTGCAGGCAAAACCCAGGCCACACAGAGGCTCCCCTCCCTTCCCAGGCAAGGGTCTTGAAGAAAGAGCTGCTCATCTCCTAGCCTATCAGCTGCTGGTTGAGCCCACATAGGTTCCTGTGCCTGGAGTATGGGTTTGTGGCTCTCTGTGGGCAAAAAGCATCTCCCTGGACTGGGGAGAAAGTCGGCAGGGGATATTACGATGGGCAGGATTGCATTACAGGCCCAGAAATGCAATGGATTTATCTGATGCTCAAGATGCATCTGAGCCTTGTGTTCCTGTCAGTGCTTCCTCCTTTTGTTATTATTAATACACAGATTATCACTTACCAACTCCCATGAGCTCTCTGACTCTAAGGAAAACATTTCTCTCATCATCAGCTAATGAGAACATTTTGTCCCTGTAATCCCTAAAGAAGTGTACTCCTCTCCTAATTAATGAACAAATATTTATTGAGAAGCTTTGGCACACAATCTCACTGCCATTCCCTTGGAGTCTCTCCTCCGCTCCTCAGTGTTCTCAGAGAACTCATTTTGCTTGCACTTCTGAAGCATGTTTGTTGCACTGTATGATCATTACATGTCTACATGTCTGATTCTCTCACTAGGCTGAGAGAGCTCTCAAACTCAGGAGCCCTATATTCATCTCTGTAAGTTTAGTAGCTAGAATGAGTCCTAGCAGAGAGCAGGTGCTGAATACATAGTTAAGGAATAAATGCGTGAATAATGCATAGATGGTTCTCATCTCCTTGGCCCTGTGAAAGACATAAGAACAATGCAAGCCACATCCTCTACTCCTGGAGTAGCTCAGAGTCAAAGTGTGGGTCCCATGAATATAAATACAGCAGATGATTAGTTACCAAATAGATTCAGGTAATGAATCTATCAGAAGGGTCTGGAGGTGGCGATCAGGATATGCTGGAGAAACCGTGCAAGATGTACAGGGTGATGGAGCTTGAGTTGCATTTGGAAACTGGAAATCACGGTTTTGAATTCCTGGAAGATGATAAGGAGACACGGCCCTCCCAACTTGCTGGTTTTTCTTTCAAGGCATTCAGAAATGCAGGGCTCATATCTGAAATGAAAAGTCCGTGATGTTCTTTTTAGTGGTATACAGTCTTTTGGATTGGGGAAGGTCAGAAAAATAATGACACTGTGAATTCTATTAGGGAAAGTTTACCCCTCATCTGTGAAAAGACAGCCTCTAAGTCACCATGAGTGTTCTGTTACTAGGCTTTGGCCCCTTCTCGAACCCCTGTCCTTTTCTGTTTTTTTACTTCACTGGGCTGGGGAGACCCAGGGCGGGGGGCGCTGTAGCCAAACATTCTCAAAGTGTTTGAGACTATAAAATTCATGTACATGGGGAGACTGTGAAGGTGGCAGCAGAAAAACATTTTTTAAAAAAGGAAAAGATGGCAGACGGTCTTTGATTTAAATGGAGGCCAGATCTAGCTTTGCCTTCCACAGCTACCCTTGCTACGTGCTCCTCCCTCTTGGAGGTGCCACTCAAATGAGCGTTCTAAAAATCCTCCTGGCTGCAATGTCCACTGAGAGCCAGGATTGCCTGTGCTCCTGTCTTGTCCCTCCTCTAGGTCAGCATCCTGCATCTGGCCTGCCCTATCTGACTGATGCAGCAAGGATGCCTTCTCTGTTTCCTTCCATTTTTCCTCATGCATGGACTAGACCCAGCTCTGCTCCACCTGGCCCAGGGAGTTCATGGTGTGTCCTAAGCCACATCAGTCACACCTAGAACCTTATCCCTGACCAAGGCCTGGCATCACCCAGTGAGAATCCCCCATTGTCTTTCTTTCAGAATGTGATGGGTCTTCTGGGTGTGATATTTGCATGAATCCTTAGAGAAGGAAACTTGAAAAGATATAAAGAAAACTTGTAAATAACTGACTGAAAGAAAGCAAACTTCTTTACTGCTACTCTTCATGGTGCCTTCCATGTGGCTCCTAGGGATATCTTAGGAACCAGGCAAGATGCAGAGGAACATTCTCTTCTGGCTCCTCTTTGTAAGGTCAGTACTTTCCCCAATTCCCATACAAGGGTGGTTTCTGGACTGGCAACCAGAACTGCCAGGCTACTATTAGGTGTGGTCCTTGGAGTTGTGGGGAAAAAAAAGAAAAAACTTTCCAATTTAACATTTATTTTTACTCAGAAGAGGTGTGCCTCTCTTCACACAGCCTGGCCCACACTCTTTTTCAGTGCTGCCCTATATTCCAAATGTGCACCTGGACAAGCACTTGCAAATATGAGGGCTGCATTAAAGGAAGTCAGGCAGAAAGGTAAAGCCAGGCTGTGGACCTAAAATAAGATATATGGCTTCTGCCTCATGCTCATTTTGATGTGGTTTCTGCGGGGATCATCATCTGTGGGGTGACATCAGACATTGTCAGCAGATTCTGCTGTCTTTTAGCTAAGGGGTAGCGTGAGCATAGGGCCATAAGTTTGGAAGGGAAGAGACAGAGTCAGAAGAATGGCCTTGGGACACAAAGTAGACTGATAGCTGACACTCCTATGGCCCCAGGAACACTTGTGAAATGTTTGTGAACATAAGGAATAGCCCAGAAAACAAAAGCACAAACACACAGTAGAGGAAAGCCTGCCATGTGACCACTCCTCCTCCAGACATGGGATCCTCGCTCTTCCCCTCACCCAGGGAGAGGCATGCAGAGGCCTCTTTGGTTTTTAGAAGAAGGAGAGATGATCTGGACATTCGAAAGAAAGAGATTCGGTCTAGAAGTTAGAAACCATGGGTCCCAGATGACCTGTCTCAGTGTGATGTTGAGTCGCCTCCATCCTTATCTGCTGAGTCTTAGTGTTTCTCATATGCAAAATTAGAGACTTGAAGAAAGTGGCCTCTAAAGAACCCTGTGGCTATAATGATCTGTGAATCTATGACATCACATTAAGTGGTTGAGAGGAGAATTCTAGTGAGGCACATTTTTATTTAAAGTGTGGATTCTCCATTATAGAGGGAGAGAGTTCTAGGCGGCAGCTACTTCAGCTTCTCCTCAGGATAGCTGGCTGGACATGAGGCTCCTGGCACCCATGTTCACTGGTAGAGCCCAGTCCATTGATTTTAGGCAATGCATATTAGTAAAAAGGATGAGCACATATTATTCATTAATTTACCTATCAATTAAGTAAATGCTCTTCAATGGCTCTTACAAACTGGCTCTGTGCTGGGGATGTAAGAGAAACAAAAGCAAACACAAGACACGGTCTTTGGCCTCAAAGAGCTCACATCCAGTGATGGGGATAGAAGTGGCAGCTCAGGAGGGGCTCCAGCCTAGAAAGGCAGCAGAGAAGCTTCCCTGGCAGAGGATTTCCAGAGCTGACTTTTGAGGACTGATTGGACTTTTGACAAGATGGAGGGTGAAGGTGGGGGAGTGGGCAGGTAAGAGACGGAGGGTGTTGAAGACAAAAGGACCCGCTTATTTGATTATCCTGTTGGGAGGGAGTCTGAACAGAGGTAGAAGGAGATGAAACATGAAATACTTCCTATCTTTGATGCCCCTGCCTTAAACAAGGGAAAAGACAAACAGTGAGAATAAAGAAACCTGAATCTCAGAGCCATCCCTGTTCCTGCCATGCTTTGTGGCTTTGTGCGTCTTGCCCGGGGTGCGTTCTGCAGCTTCTGGACGCTTATTATCCATAATAATCATAATAATTAATAAAACCTTTTAAAGGGGCCTTTAATCATGCTTGTGATTTGCTTCCAAACACATAATAAAAAAGAATTACTTATAAAAGTGACAAATTTGTTCCTAATTATACCATTATTTTGTTATGCAATACAAGTAAAGCAATCTTTGAAGGTGGAAAAATGTCTCATGCAGAATTAATTAGAACAGTACATGGTTTGGAATTAGGCAATTATTTTACTGATATTTCACAACTAGAACTTTATAAGAGCACCTCAAATATTTTCGTTATTGCCAGTAAATAGTTATTTTAAACACTTACTGGTATGAGTTCCAGAGATAAACTCTGGACTGCTTTTGGACCTTATAAAAATGTTTTTAATCTGAGAGAAAATTTAGAGAATGCACGAGTCATTGTGGCCCCAGGGAAGTTCTGAGGAAGCAGATGGTAACATTCAGGGAATTCACTTGCTTGATATGACACAGCAAGAGAGAGGCTGCAAAGGGTCCCACCCACTACTCAAACAGAGTCCAGATATCACCAGTGGGCTAACGAGTAAATCCATAAAGGGAGGACAACAACCAGGTCACATCGTAAGTCATGAGCCAAGACTGTATTTCTCATCTCTGGACTCTCATTCCATTTTCTTACTTTCTTTAAAAATATAAGCTTATTTTTCATGATATAAACGTAATACCTATTCATATCCAACGCTCTTTCCTACTGCCTTCTGTCCCAAGCCCACACTGATGTCTTTATTTCACTTTCGCTGTAGATTAAATAGCCCGTGAGTACTGTCATGCGTTCTTACTTTGCCTCATGCATGTCAAACCTGCCTCCTTCCCCATCGACTACAAGTCTGTAAATAAATCAAAGGCTAAGTTCTCTTTTAGTCTTCTGCCTTAACCAGTTCTTGTTCAGGGCTGGGCACATAGCCTAGGCACTTTGGGACTTACCTAGAAGATTTACCTAGCTCACAGCACCTGACCAGAGCACTAGAGACTCTACTCATGAGGGTCCTATGGGTGGACATCCGGATTCAGAGAAAGGTTGTGGGTTGGAAGGCGACCATGCTTGTGAGACTCTCCCATCCAGAGGTGATCACCAGCCATCCCAGGCCTCTGCTGGGTGTGGACATGCCCATGTAGTGACCTCCCCTAGGCCATTGTTTTGGAGCCCTCTACAGAATAGACGGCCTCTTAGTTTCTTGGATTGTTAAGAAAATAACTTCTTTTTTTATTGGATGCACATAACTTTATTGGATACATATAATATGTTATACGATCTGCCTAAAAACACCCATGCAAGGCGTTTTCAGGCAGAGCAAACAGCTTGGTAGGTGGGGGCATGGGCAGTTGGATCAGTGGATTCCACACTACAAAGGAGAAAGAAAAGGTTGGAGAGGCAAGAGAGAATGAGCAAAAGAACTTTGAGGCCTCTATGGTTCCCAGGGAAGACTCTGGACACTGTGTTTGCTGACCTCAGCTCTAGCCTGAGGTAAGGCTAGAGCTGAGGTAGTTTAGGGTACAAAATGAGGTACTTGCTCATTTTGCCCTCGAAAGTAAGGCAATATCAGCTTCAGGCCTCAGTTTCCCAAATTCTAAAATGAAGGTGTTGGCCTGGCAGGAACCTAAGGCTTGTGTGTGGTGCACTGTACTTATCAGCCCCACCCTGCAGGTGACTTCTCTTTGCTAGAGACAAAGGCACCGTGAGCTTTGAGTAGCTAAAATAATAACGATATTCTTCAGGCTCCCATGGCAGCTTGCTCAATCATTACAGCTCTCTCACAACTCAGATTTGCTACCTAATATTTAACCTAAACCTTTTCCCTGCTTTTGTTTTAGTTCATCACCACTTACTCGGTTCTATCAATCTACCTGTGCATTTCTATGCCCCCTCTCACCACAGTGCTTAGCACCTGTCCTTTCTGAGCAATGAGGTTAATATTGAAGGTAAAATCCATTTCGTAGAGATAATGTACTATAGACCTTTCAGAAAAGCTCTCTATGATAATGAGGAATGAGTTACCATGCTGAGGTTGTTTAAATGTCATTTATTTTAACAAGTGACACTCTGAATTTATTTAAAGTTGACTACAATGAAGGAAGGGTGGAAAGTTTTAAAGTTTCATGAAACAATAATAGAACTGCAAAGCAAGGAGCCCTGAAAGATGGATCTGAACGGCAATCCTGATTACAAGCTCCATGGGAGGGCTGGTTGGGTTGAACGCTTCCTGAGGCTTGTGAAAGACTCCAGGGATGTGAATAAGGATGTGGCAGAGAGCGCCCTGGCTTGATCACTGAGCTTTGCTTTCTTTTCTATTGTGCTCATGTGCACATATATGTGTTCATGTATACACAGATGTCTCAGCAGGTGTATGCGTGCAAGTGGGTGAGCTAGAGTGGAAGCATTCTCTTGCCTCTTGATTGTACTATTTAACACACCTTCCACCACCAAGTCAGGGTCTAGGAGTCCTGAGGCAGCTGCCACTCACTTGTCCATGCTCTCTTGTTTGGCTGGAGCAAGCGCTGTTTGGCTCTCTGAGAATGAAGGCCTTATTTTGTTCTCATCTTCACCAATAGGGGCTCACAAATTTAGACACAAAGCTCAATTCTTCCTCATGGAAAAATGGAGTTTGAAAGGTAGGTAGTGGGCAAAGACTACAGTCTCCTTGGGGAATATACGGGAGGGGCAGAGGCATGACTCACCCTTATCTGAATAAGCTAAGGGTTGTCAAGTTTTGAGGAGGAGATTATTTTGATTGCAAGAAACAGAAACTAGTTAAAGCTAAACAAAAAAAAAAAAAAAAAAAAGAGGGAGGTGGGATGGAAAATGGTATCCCTTGTAGGACATAAAGCAGCTGGGCCTCTCAGGGCGTGGAAGGAGGGAGTGGAAAGTCAGCAGGAAGCCGTGTAGTAAGGACTCTCCCTGTGTCTTTTGTCTATGCCTCTCTGCTCATTTTCTCTTTTCATTCTCCCTCTCTCTGGGACTGGCTTTC
This sequence comes from Homo sapiens, assembly GCF_000001405.40. Lineage (NCBI taxonomy): Eukaryota > Metazoa > Chordata > Mammalia > Primates > Hominidae > Homo > Homo sapiens. The sequence continues at coordinate 21,653,330 of NC_000002.12, forward strand.
TCGGTCTCCCTATAGTCATATACTGGGCAGAAGATGGATGCCCAACAACTTCCCAAAGCGTATCCTCTCAGTTCCAGTCACACATAGGGAATGCACTGGTTAAATCTGAATCCTAATTTTATAACCCTAGGGGAGACAATTTGATGAATTTGTTTTAAGCCAAGAGTCTGCCTCCAATAGCTGACTGTTCATTCCCCTTTCCTCTATGGTTTCTGGTTTAAATAAACTACATCTCCCCATTGGCAAATAGTAATAATAAACTTAAAAAAATAATAAATCATTTGTGGCCAAGAAGACAAGATTTTTTTTAAGTGGGCTTTTAGGGGCTTGTTCCTGCATATAGAGGAGGCAGAGTTCCTGGAAAGCAACCATTTGACGTGAGCAGATAGCACAAAATATTTTGACTATACCAGAGAACTTCAGAACATGCATAAAGCTGAGCTCAGCATCAACTGCAATCTTGTCTTCCTGGATATGGGAGATGGTATATGGTATATGGTAGTTTGCCAATCTAAGGGAAATGCCGTCTGAAGGTGGGTGATTTTTACGAAGGCTGAATTATAACAGTATTTTTTAAAGTTAAGTAAGTTATTTTCTTTTCACTTCAATCAATTTCCTTATTTGAGCATTTAAGATAATTATAGGCTACAGGTAAATTATATAGTATATACATGCTAAATTATAACTCATCTCCACCAATTAATATTTACTGAGCAATGAATGGGCCAAATATGCCAACTTGGGGATTCAAGACCTGAGTGTAATTAAGCATTTCGGCTGGGAAAGATTATAACTGTATCTTCCCAAACATCCCTCCCTTCTCTCCCTAGTGTATGTGAAGGGAAATGTAAGGATAATCTGCTAACCCTGAGCTTACCTCTAAAGTTGTTTACAGAAGAAAAAAAAATCAATTACTTTAAATATTTTAGAACCTATTTCCTAGTTACTAACCAATGACAATTTATGATGGTCTTAAAAGACAGGCAGAGGAGTCAAATTTAATTGTATTTATTTCCTAATTCCCTAGGGCTTCTCCCGGGTCTCTCACTGGCAGGCAGGAAGGATACTACAGTGGCCTCCCAGTTTGGTGCTCAGGAGTTTGGAATCTCAGGTGGTTGCAGACTAGAAACTAGTCTACTCCGTATTGCCGATGGTGTAGCAGGGATATGCAGGGAGGGTTATGGTTGAGCAGAAAATAGATGTCACAGTATATTAACAGCTTTGCAAACTGATTGTGAATAAAGCTGAAAAGTTGTTTAGCTCATGATAAATTTTGAAATCCAGAATTTGAGCATCAAACCATGGTGCGGATATTTATTTTGTAAGAATTATTACTATCATGTGGAAGGATAACATGATGCCCGTCAATTCTGCATTTACCAACCTCCGTAAGACTAATTCTCTTTTCAAATAAGATTGACACATAAATCTCAAGGATGATCTGAGTCTCTGGGAACTCTCCTGGCAGGAAGAGAGGGGATGGTAGAGGGAGTCAGAGAGGGAATCAGAGAAATCTAGAACCTAATTGACAGTATGAATACATGATCAATGTGTGCAAAGCATTCCCCATTTGTGCCTGTCTGCATTTAAATGATGACTTATTTTCTCTCCCTACTCATTACCGGCATCGGCTTACATAAAGGTTTTAGGAGCCATCAAGATGTATGTGTTCATGGATTCCTTTCTAAGCCTTGTAAGCCCCATGTTTCACCCCATATTTGGATTTCTGATAGCTCTACATATTCCTATTGTCATTAGAGATCCTCACCTTTAGAGCGATTTCTACTTTCCGAGCTCCATTCTATAGGTTTTCTCCTTTGAATCTCAAAATTATCCAGAGAGAGGCAGTGCCTGGGCCATTACTGCGTAGACATTAAAGTACTTGCTCAAGGTGATCATGGTTGTCAGGGGCAGAACCCAGACTAGAACTCAGATTTCCCAATTCCCAGGCCGGTGCTTTTCCTACCATATGAAGGGCAAAGCAATGTACACACTGAGATCTCCCGGCCAGAGTCCACATCTCACTCATCTGGGCATTCCCATGACCCAGTACGATGCCTGGTATGTGGTCAGTGTCTATGATGCTCATAGGCTCAGGGCAGAGAGGACAGAACTTTGCATGAGGCAACCTGAACTATAATTCTACAGCCAGGTGACTGTGTTACATGGCCCCTTTCTCCCCTGGCTAGGTCTTTATTTCTCTCCTATAAAACTGGGGCAATACGATAAGCCCTATCTACTCAGGAGTTGTAATGATGGACATATATGGAAAGAGTAGGGTAATGTTAAGAAAAGAGAAAATACTCAATGCTCAATATTTAAACATAAATAGGTATAAAAAATGATTGATTTTGATTCCCAGAAAAAATCTTCAGTGGCCTTACAGAGAGTGGTACCCTGTAACCTTTGACCATAAATTCATGTACTGCTAAAGCCCTGAGAACTCGTGGTCTCTGCATAGGAAGTGGAAGTAAGGCTATGCTTGGTCAGTGAAAAGGGAAAGTGAATATGAGATGCAGCAGGTATAAGCCAGCCAGGCTTGGTCTTTTTAGAAGAAAATTGAAGGCAAGTCTTAGGCATAATCTCCATAATCCATATTTTGGAATGGAGAAAAGCATATTGTGCTTCTAAAAACATTTTTTTTGAGATAGAGTCTCACTCTGTTGCCCAGGCTGGAGTACAGTGGCACAATCACAACTCATTGCAGCCTTGACCTCCTGGACTCAGGCAATCCTCCTACCTTAGCCTCTTAAGTAGCTGGGACTACAGGCCTGCAACACTACACCCAGCTAATGCTTTTTTAAAAAACTTTTTGTAGAGGCAGGGTCTCACTATGTTGCCCAGGCTGGAATACAGTGGCACAATCACAACTCATTACAGTCTGGACCTCCTGGACTCAAGCAATTCTCCTACTTCAGCCTCCGAAGTACGTGCATTATATACACCATACCCAACTAATGCTTTTAATGCTTTTTTAAAAAAACTTTTTATAGAGATGGGGTCTCACTATGTTTTTCAGGCTGGTATGAAACTCGTGGGCTCATGCAAACCTCCTGCCTCAGTCTCCTAAAGTGCTGGGGCTACTGGTGTGAGCTGCCATGCCTGCAGATGCTTGTGCTTATTAGACCATATTCAAACTTGCTGAAGTGGCTGCGGTTTTCCTTTTCACTTCCTAACTGGAACTGTTGGGTGTGCTGCTGTTTTGTACTAGAGAAGGCATATCTGAGTCAAAAGGAAATGCGAGCAATTTAATAGAAGATAAAAGGATCCAACACGGCTCACACACACAATAAATGAAATGAGAGGAGACAGACTTATAATGTGTCTTTAATGTAATCACAACTGTATTCCAAGGATGAAGGTGTAATCTCAATTTGTATGGATGCACACAGCTTTCTCATTTGCAATCATCATTAGTGGGTTGTGTGCACGCTGTTGAAAATGGGAATCTGCCCGGTGCAAATCTAATACCCTCTAATGAAACTAGAAAACATCAATTGTGACAGAAGGGACTCGGCTGAGTCAGACCACCCACGCAGCTCAGTGGCCTGATTTCCAGTGGTCAATACCAAAGATTCTTAATTTTGCCCCGATTAAGAACAATACAATGCACTCCCTTTAGAACACTCATGTTAGAAGGAGGACCAAGCCTCCATCTCTGCTGACATCAAGGAAAAGGCCCTATGGGGCCTGTGTGGGCACATCTTGGGTTGGGTGCTTCGGGTCATTTGACATCTCCAGTGTATTTGATTTATAAAGTGGATTTGATCCTTGTTCCTATCCCTTAGCAAAGGAAACCTATTTACATTTTAGAGAATGAATGCATTACTAGTATTTCCCACTCCCCTGGATTACCATGACTTTTTATCCGTTTCTTATCACATTCAGCCTGTCTCATAGTTATTTGTGTCTGAGGTTTATTTTCCCCTGCAGACTGTGAACATCTGATATTAAGGTCCACTTTGTAATCATCTTTGTAATCCCCCCTTGCACTTAGCACAGGGCCTGGAAAGGAGATGACTTGAGCTGTGCTTGGTGAACTAAATTGAAACTCTTCTCTTATATCTGCAAAAAGGACTGTTCCTCTGAATTAAATCTGTGTAGGACTTAAACAATTTTCTTTATTTTTCCTTTGTGTTAGCTCAAACCATAACATTTGTATTAGCTAAGAGTGAATTCCAGTAAAATACTCTCTTGCCAGACTTTTAACTTAGCTTACAAATAAGTTTTACGTTTGCCAAACATTGCAAACATTTCAAACTCCTTACCAAATTATACTTATAACTAAACATAGAATATCTTTATCCAAACTTAGTCACTAACTGTAACTGAGAGATTTTGAGGATGAGTGTGATGAAGTAAAGTCTTAAGAACTAACAGATAGCAGAGCTCATTCAGATTGTGCAACTCATTCATCATATGGCCTTGGGCAAGCGACAACTTCCTGGATCTCAGTTTCTTCAGGGTTAAAACACTTGCATCAATACCTGTGCTGTGTATGTCTTAGGATTTTAATAAAACTAATGAAGTGATTGATGTCAAAGCACCTTGTAACCTGCAGAGCCATATATAAAATATAGGAAATATGGGAAGTGAAAATGGAAAGAACTGGACGTGCTAATGTCTCTTCATGCTAATAAATCAAGGGGAGAGAGGGAGTCTCAAAATGAACCTGGTGAATGTTCACTCTAGGATTCAAGGACACCTAAGCAAGACTGTCCAGTGCATGGGGTGGGGCCAACGGAGGTCAAATTGTATAAATCACCCAAGAGGTTTCTGGGAAGAGAATGCAATTTATAAGAAAGTTAAGCATGCAAGAGTGTTCCAGTGACAGTGGGAGAAGGCCCAAGTAGGAGGGGCAATTGTGAATGTGTGACTTCCAGCTTTTGGTCTCCACCTTTTCCCATAATCCTCTAACCCACTGAATAATTCCACTGAAATCTCTGCAAGACTCTGTGTGGTGAGGAAGCTCTGTTCTAATCCCCCTCTGACAAAACATTACTCCAGCAGAGTGGAGGCCCTTTTCCTGCCTCAGCATGGGATACAGATGAGCTGGGATACAGTGAGAGTTCCATAAGGCGTAGCCTGGCCTAGTCACATTGAGGGTCCCATATCCCACCTGGAGCAGCAGTGCCCAGATCCTATTACAGCAGTTGTGGCCCACACCTCTGGAGGCAGCAAACACCAATGACTATGAAAGAAATGGGGGCTAATGGCCTTGCCTAGGACATCTGCATCTGCTTTGAAGACAGCAGGCAGCAAAGTGGCATCCCTGAATGAGAGGCACTGTCATTCAGGGATGTAGGCTTGGTATCATGCAGTGTTTTGGCATGATTGACAGGGACTTGGAGGAGTGGTAGTGATATCATCTAAGAGGATTGGTATGGCGTCAGTAATGTTGGAAGAATTTCCATGAACTAATTGGAAAACACCAGTAATATAAATTATAGAAAATTGAGAGAGGGTATTTGTTATTGTGCAAGTGGTAGATAGAATCCAGTCTAAGAAAGCACAGATGATACAAAACTGGGAAGAACTGAGTGTCGCTCAATTCTTATTGTTTTAAAAAGGAAAGAACTGTAGGCCACTGGCCAGTGTAGCTCTGGCAGCATCTCATGGTTTTAAATAGGGGGATAATACACAGCTAGTATGCAATAAGTGCTAATAAGGAATGCTGGAGCCCTTAGAGCCTCAGGGAAAATTATCCTCAGTTGTAAAGTGAATGAGAGTGTGCTTGTTTCTTCCATTTACCATTCCCCAGAACCACAGCCTTCTTGAGCTTCAGCGAGTGCCTCCTCACTCCTTAGAATTTACATTTCACAATGTTAAAACAAGATCTGTTATAGATAATTTAGCCCCAGGAAGCTTAAGCCAGGGACAGCCAAGCAGGGCTTCAGTAACAGAGAACACCAGGCCTCTTTATTTTCTTACCCTGGGACTTTATTTCTGAGCCAAGAAGCTAACGCATCTTAATAGCAAGCAGCTGAGTTAACTAGATAAAAGGTTTCATAAACAGTTAGTGAAATCTTGAAATCAGAGAAACCGGAGATTCACAGCCTTACCGTGCCTGACTGGATCTAAACGTACATCGCAGAAAGCAACACAGAAGGTGATGGTGAGATACTAGGCAGTGCTCCCGTGAGCCGAAACACACTGGTTTTCATTCATTCATTCTACAGATGGATATATATTGAATTCTACAACACAGTTTCCTCTCGGCTTAAGACTGAGGATAAAGGATACAAAAGAACCAATCAACTAAAACAGATTTAATGATCTAGACAATAACGATTACATTAAATTAATGAGTACATGGAGCTGACAAAAGGCCAGTTTTATATACTGGTTGATAGTTGTTGATAGTTCAGAAATAGAAGACCTAAGAAGTTTAAATTTATAGTAAATAATGGCACTAGGAGTTTATGTAAAAATATGAAAAATGAGTTAAAATGAATGAACTGACATGTATTAGCAGATAGTAATAGTAAAAGGATCAGGATTATAAGTTGTGATGATTCTATGGTTAAGGGGGAATCATAGGCGCACAAAAACAGAAAAACTCAACAAAGGGAAAGAAAAGCTACTTGGTGAGAGGGAAGAGCTCAGAGAGCTTTTTAGGATATTGACTTTGGTGGAGGAAGGAGCTAGAACTGGCACTGGAGGTGCTGAAAGCCTGGGGCATTAGATTAGGAGCTTCAGACTTGTGAACGGCTGGCTCTCGAATTGACCACCCACAAGCAAAAGATTTTAAATAAAGTAAAAATTCAAGAAAATTCCAATTACTGTGGCAGCAGTAGAAAAAGGGAATATCAAAGGGAGTATCGAGGGGAAAAATGATTGATTCTGAACAAAGAAAAATTAAAGATCAAAAGCAAAAAGATAAAGGAAATCATACTGGTTTTGGACAAAGACTACATGCATTCAAAACCTATAAATAGATAAATAGGGAGCAATTTTCTGAATAAAGTTAATGAAATGGAGCAACAACTGAGATATGGAAAATAATGACTATGTGACGATGGGAATAAAGCCAGTCAAATGCTACCACATCAATTAAGGAAACAGCAGGCCTCCAGAGCAAAGACAAAAATAATACAACTTCTAAGACCCAACATTTACAAGACAACATAAAAGAACCAAGAGAAACATGTGCCTTTCATTACTAATCTGCCTTTACATGAAATATTACAAAAAAAACTTTTAAAAACATGATTATGATTCAAATTGTAAAGCAAATTCTTCAAAGCCCTGTGTACTTCATTGGAGCAAATTTCACTCAATCTCCCATGTCATCACTAAGCCATGTGCCCTCATTTTTGTAGGTGACCACTCTACAGGTGACATCACCAACTTTGTAGATTGTTAAAACCCTTCCATAGGGACAGAAGGGCCCTGTGGGCTTGGTGTCATGAGCATTTTTGGCAAAGTTGATGGGGACTTGGAGAATGCCTCTGCATCCCCTGAGCTCCTGCATTGACTCTAAGCTTCCTTTAGAGCCAGGATGGATGTTTTTAGCCATACCTTTTCTGGCTCCCCCCGCCCGACTTCTGACACTAATGTGTAATCTGTCCATGGAGTCCGTCTTGAGACACACCTGCTGAGCACACAGTTGGATGAACAGTTTGACTGAAGGATTCAGTGTCCCTGATAACTTCTCTCTTCCAAGTTACCAAACCAAGGAAGACACTAATGTTCTTTCTGATGTCATTAATTAGCTGTGCTTGACTGTTTGTAGAGGGCGTCATTGAAATTTTGTTCTCGAATGTTCTTTCTTTTCCTCTTTTCTCTACTGTTTCTTTTGACATCTGTTTATTTCCTCTGCATCTTCAGAGCCTAGCAAAGCACGTACCTCATTGTCAGTGTCAAGAATGAAAGAACTGGCCTTCCTTCGTATGGAATCCACTACACCAGCCCCTGCCTCCACTGTCTCTTCTCTGCCCACTTCTCTGGCTCTATTTCTTGTACACTCCTGCTTCAAACCATGGGGGTCTCCCAGGATATCAGGATATCCTCTTGTCCTTTCTTCATTCTACTTTATGTTTTCATTTCCCTTTTTTACTCCCTTCGCTTCTCTCTCTCTCTCTCTCTCTCTCTTTTCTATTTAGAAAAGAGAGTCCAGGCATGGTGGCTTACATCTGCAATACTAGCACTTTGGGAGGTTGAGGTGGGAGGATCACTTCAAATCAGAAGTTCAAAACTAGCCTGGGCAACGTGGCAAAACCCCGTCTCAACAAAAACAAAAATTAGCCGAGTGTGGTGGCAGGAGCCTGGAGCCTGTAGTCCCAGCTACTGGAGGAGCTGAAGCGAGAGGGTTGCTTGAGCCCAGGAGGCTGAGGCTGCAGTGAGCCGAGATCACGCCCATGCACTTCAGCCTGGATGACAGAGTGAGATCCTGTCTCAAAAAAAAAGAAAGAAAAAGAAAAGATACATAGTTCATTTTAAGGCAGTGGATAGATCACCAAAAGGAAAAAAAGATCAGTGAATACCATAGTATTTCTTGTCTTTGTTTTATTTTATTTCATTTCTTTTTATATACATTGGCCTTTGTAAAGACAGAACTCAAAATCTCGTTTAATTCCCCCTAGGCACTTCTTTGAGTGTGATTTCTGAGATACAGGATTTCTCATGAGCTTATTTTAAAACAGCAAACACAAATTAAAAAGCATACATATTTATAAAACTTATATAAAATATATATCATATAAATATCACAATTTAAACAAAACTGAAACACAAATCTGTAGTTACAATGGAGTATGATTTCTACTCATTTATAACTATTTCTAGTAATTTGAATCCCATATTGCCCTCCATGCTTCTTGTTGTTGCTTTTTCGACTCATCCGAATTCTTAAAAATTTGAGTTGTAAACTTCTGGTAGTGGGTTTAGTAACTGTGAATATCTTATATTGACCTTGTAATTACTCTTTTAAAAATCGTTATTAAGGTACACATAAACGTAATTTAAAGAGTTAACTATTTCTTCAGAGTTTCTCATGAAAAATTAGTCTGTCCTCTCCTGCCATGATTTCCCATTTTTCATGTGTATTAGTTTTCCATTGTTTATGTAACAAATTACCACAAACTTAGTGGCTTACAACACAGATTTATTATCTTATAGTTCTGTGGGTCAGAAGTCCAACCTGGGTCTCACTGAGCATCACTAGGCATCACTAGGGCCGTGTTCCCCTCTGGAGGCTCTAGAGGAGAATCTGCTTCCTTGCCCATTCACGTGTTAGCAGAATTCAGTTTCCTATGGTTGTAGGGCTGTTGCTGGCTGTCAGCACAGGGCTGTCCTGAGCTCTAGTTTTTGTATATACTCCCCACATCTGAGAGCTAGCATAGGACAGTGGATCTTTCTCTTGGGGCCATTTCTCAACTTCATCTTCTGCCTTTCTCTTCTACTTTTAAGGATTCAAGTGATTACATTGCCCCCATCACACCCCAGTAATCTCCCTTTTTCAAGTTCTTTAATCTTAGTCACATCTGCAAAGTTCCATCTGCAAAATTCTTTCGCCATGTAAGGTAACATTCAGAGGCCCCAGAAATTGGATCTTGGATATCTTTTGGGGAAGGAGTGTTATTCTGCCTACCACACTATGGTACCCACAGTCAGCTCTTTTAGACACTTGTTTGGTATGTACTCCAGTGTCTCTAAATAGTATTCTGAATTAGAGCTTGTTTGTTTTCAGTTTTTGTACTTACTCTTTGTTTTCCAAGTATGGAAGATGATGATTTAAGTACCTTTCACACTCAGCCTCTCATAAAATATGTGTTTCTTGTTCCTTTGTCTTCCTAATATAATTCAATTTAGATCAAATATAATTTTTATACTACTAATATTATGTAAACACTATCCATAGCTGAGTTATGTATTATAATAACGTTGATACTATTTTTCTGGCAAAAGTTTTTGGTTGTTAAATTTCCTATTATTTGTCTCTCAGTTATCCCATACTCTCTTCCAGTAGTGTAAATTTTTCCTCATCTTCTTGAAGAGCACTTGCTAAGAATTTTCTGACCTGCTCCAATCTGGATTTCTTGATTTCTAAGCATGCTGCCCAACTGCTTCATAGGAATCTGCCTGTGATTTCCACCCTGAAGATGCCTCTCACCTCTTACTCTGTTTCTTTTTTCCCTATTTTCTCCTTCATTTCATTTGAGCACATTCTTCAGGAGCTGCTTGATGAAAAACGTAAGGGGGTGATATATTTTAGACATATAATATATTTGCATGCATGAAAATGTATTTTTCCTGCCCTCGCACTTAACTGAGAGTTTAGCTGGTTTGGAATTTCAGACGGATACTATTTTTTCTCAGAATTTGCATTCAGTTGGAAATCTTGCGCTTCATCGATCCTCCCTGTTTACAGTGCCTTCGTAATCCCTGCCCTTATCTCCTGGTCCAGAGACATTCTGTTTTATTCTCTCCAGAGAAAAACCCTTTAGGCTTCTACTGTGGGAAAGAGGTTGCATGGAGTGGGAGGAGGGACTGGGGGTCTAACTGCTTCACAAAAAAGACTTCCTATGAATCCTCCTGCTTCTAACCCGGTATTTTAACTCACCCTCCCAAACACCACCTTTCCTGGGTACCCGGTTCTTCCAATTCCAGTGCCTTTGGAGATTTGGGGGTAAAAATGAGAGTGTTGCTTGGCTTTCCCCAGAATAGGATTTAACATTCTCCTGTCTGCTAAGGCAGTTAGCATCAGCTATTTTCAAGCCTCAGCATTTCATTATTGTTGTTCCCATTTCTGTTCTCTTTGCTATTGTGTTTATATGCTTGTGTCAGTCCGTTTTTTGCTTTGCTTGAAGTAATCCCTGAGACTGGGTAATTTATAAGTAAAAGAAGTTTAATTGACTCACGGTTCTGCAGGCTATACAAGCGTAGCAACAACATCTACTTGGCTTCTGATGAGGGTCTCAGGAAGCTTCCACTTATGACGGAAGGTGAGGTAGGGGCCAGCACATGGCATGGCAAGAGTGAGCAAGGGGGTGGGAGGTGTCACATGCTTTTAAATAACCAGATCCCACGTGAACTCAGAGCAGAGTGAGAACTCACTCATTACCACAAGGAGTACACCAAGCCGTTCATTAGGAATCCATCCTCATGACCAAACCTCCCATCAGGCCCCATCTCCAACACCGGGGATTATATTGCAACATGAGATTTGGAGGGGACAAACATCCTAACCATATCAGACCTTTCATAGTTGCTTTACCATTGTTTTCTTTCTTTGCTTATTTATTTTTGGTGGTAACTGAATCCCATTTGCATGGCCAACCTGCTGTTTTTAACTGGAAGTCCTCACAGCCTCTAAGAGCTCAATGATCTTTATTTTGTTGTTGCTGCTGTTATCAAGATGAAAATTTCTAGATGTACCAGCTTCCTCATGGTCTACTTTTAAGTAGACTCTATAAAGGACAGTTTTATCTAGATATTCTGCCACACTGCAGCTAAAACTCAACTGGAAAACACTAAAACATTCCTTTAAACCAGTGCTTCTTTCTGGCCTACCCCTTATAATCATGGATACTGCCATTTTCCAGATTTTCAGGCTATTCTACTATATTCTAATTTGTCCCTTCCATCCAAGCTATTAGTAAGTCATATTGATTTTTTTTCATGACATCTTTCAAATGTGCCCTCTCTGCTCCTGGCCTTTTCTTTCTTCCTAGTCTAGGCTCTCATTATCTCCAAACAGGATTATTGCAAAACAACCTATTGACAGTTCTGATCACCCATTACCCACTTCTTTTTTTCTATTCTATTCAACCTTTCTCAACACCACTGTCACCATGACACCTTCTAGCCCTATACATAGGGCCTCACCAATCTCCTCGCTCTTTAGATCAAGTCTAGACTGCGATGTCAATGCCTGAATACAGAAAGCATTCAATAAATGTTCATAAAGGGAGAAGCTGGATGATGTCCAAGGACTTCATTAAGAGCTTTTCACCATATCTAACAAAGTTTTTCTCCAAATGAATAATATCGATCCTTCCTGCCTCTCATGACTTGTTTCCCCCTTGTTTCCAGTCCTAATCCTACTTGTATCCCTAGGTTTAAGCTTGCACTTTCCTTGGGCTTTCTCCGTCCCCATGTAAATCTGCATTTCCTGGGCCAGGCATGGTGTTTCACACCTGTAATCCAGCACTTTGGCACTTTGGGAGACCGAAGCATGTGGATCACTTGAGGTCAGGAGTTTGAGACTAGCCTGGCCAATGTGGCGAAACCCCATCTCTACTAAAAATCCAAAATTATTTGGGCATGGTGGTGCATGCCTGTAATCCCAGCTACTCAAGAGGCCGAGGCATGAGAAATGCTTGAACCTGGGAGGCAGAGGTTGCAGTGAGCTGATATTGGGCCACTGCACTCCAGCCTGGGTGACAGAATGACACTGTTTCTAAAAAAACAAAACAAAACAAAACAAAAAAAATTCTGCATTTTTTTATAAGGATCTGCTTTAACTCTAACTGCTCCTGGAAATAAGCCCTGACTAATCAAGGCTACACAGTCCCCATCTTCCTGTGAACATCAACAAGACTTGGAGCTAGCTGTCTCAAAATCACTTGTGTGTTGTTTGCTCTTTTGCCTGTGTGTTCATTTTCTTCCCCAATTTCTTTAAGAGTAGGGATTATATCTAACATTTATCTCCAACTCTTTCTGGTGCTGGATACATGACTTGGCATACACAAATTAGTAAGTTTTTAACTCTTGTATAAAAAATATTCTTAAGCAAAGAAGAGTAAGGACCTTACCCTGAGAACCACATAGAAAATTTGCCATTTTCTTGACTTATCACATGAAATCTTATTTTGTGTGTGTGTGAATTTTGCATTTTAAGCCCCAACATATTTATATCAATAGACTGAGTCCACAATTGGACTTCACTACTTAATACTGCACAACCTTGGTCCAATTACTCAGCTTCTCTGTACATCAGTTTTCTAATTTTTAAAACAAGGATTACAGCAATTCCTATCTTATTGTTGAAGTGAAAAAATAAATTAGTTCACATAGAACACTGAATAGTGCTAAGTAGTTGGAAGATGCTCAATAAATACTAGCAGTTTTAAGAAAGATCATTTAGATGAGTTTTCCTCCAATACTTAATATTCAAGTTGCTCCAGAAATATATGTCATATCTATCTTGTGGTCTCAGAGTACCAGGACGAAGGCATGCAGCAGACTCTTACACAATAGACTTGGGAGCCAGCAGGGCAATCACGATATATTCCTTCTTGGAATGGCTGAGAACCAATAATCTCAGCCCTGTCCCACATCATGGAGGAACTAAAACCCACACCCCCACACTGTGGCACCCTCCTGCATGGCCCTCACAGCACACAAACATTCTCCACTCTTTACAACAGATGGACTTGGATGATCTGTGTCTCTCAAAAGATTTCATATAATGGAAACCCCTACATGTCTAGATCTGGTTTTTGTTTTAGAATTGCCAGAGTCCCTGCAATAAAGAAGAAACACATCCTGAGATCAAACGTGACTCTTTTCTTTATTATTCCTTATGGACCTCTTTCAGTCTATCTCCACATTATGGTACAGTTTTACCCTCCTGTAATCTTCAGGGGACACTGAAGCAGAGTGAGGTTTAGACCAAATCTAGGCATGCTGGTGTCACACTGAGAAGTGAGGAAAAGAGGAAATAGAAGGTCTAAAAAAGAGATTAAGATGTGCTGTGATTTAACCTAGAGTGCTGTAAATTACTTCCAGTTTGTCACTTGGCAGATTTGCTCCTCAATCCATGTCTGCTCTAAATATAAGTGCTCTGGGTTCCCAAAATACTTCTCCCTTCTCACCCCCTTTGATCATCTCATTCGTTGGCAGATTTCAGACTGGTATGAATCAGTAAGTGTCCATTTAATTCTCTAAGGCTAGATTCAGTGATGTCCTTTAAGCAGATGGACAGATATTTTAGGAAGTGCTGGAGGTCTTGGTGTTACCTACTCAGTTGTGACACATGGGGAGGCCACTTGGTTTTGAAGCCAAAGAATAATGCCTTTACTATGGACAAATGCAATATACAGCCCTCTCAGCACAATGTCCACTTGGGTGAAACACTCTGCCCCACTTCTGCCTGTGTAACTCATAATATCCCTCAAGGTGCTGTTCAAATTTTCTCTTCCAGGAAGCCCATGCCGATTCTCTCCTCCTTGTTCCTTCGGCTTTTTACTTGTACTAATTTTGTGATACATAGCCCTATCCATCTATAGTGTAGTGGGTTAGCATTATGACAGAACTCATCACCAAGTGATGAGTTCGTGCAGGGCAAGGAATGTGTCCATTTTCCATTCATCATCCTGAAATTTCATAGCAAACTTCCTGAAGCAATGAAGGGGCCAAATATAACTTTCAGAAGCCAATAGGCAATGTAGCTTGTTTAGAGAGAAGAACTACTTGAATGGATGTTCTCTCAGGGTGCTTAGAAACAAGGCCCTTCTGTAGGCCAGACCTTGAACTTAGGAGAGGGACAGCTCTTCTGCAGTACCCTTTCTCGTCTCTGCATTACTGGTGTCCTAGTGACCTCACCTCCCGCCCAACCAAACCTGCTGCTCCCAGATCACGACCGAACCCTCCTTGCACTCTTCTGGGCTCTTCTCTCTGTAAGTTATCTTTCATGACGAAGGAGTTAATCAATTTTTTTTTTTTTTTTGCCAAAAGGGTTTAAGGAAGTAGAACAAGCCTTCCAAAAGAAATTTAAAAAAACAAACAAAAAAAAAAAAACAAAAAAAAACATGCGTGTCTTTGTTTAAGATACTTCTTCTGCCTGCAATAAGGTGGTTGTGAAAGTGACAAAACATAGGTCTTTGGTTGGTTGCTGTTTTTCTCTCAGCCTGAGAGAAAAACAATGACTATTTTTTTTTCCAGTAAAGCCTCCCCCTTTAAAACTGGTTAACAATAGGCGCTATTGAGAGCACACCTGAAGCCTTCAGTGTATATGAAATCAGTGGGGGAACTCACAGCAGTCTCCAAGGCCTCTTTTTAAAATCACCTTGGACCTGGTATCTCAGAAAGAAAGTAAGAGAAGAAGCTAAATATCATTGCCATGCACAAGGCATTTCACTACTTGCTACTTTAATTTCTAAAAACTCTACAGCTCTATTATAAGGAGCACATAGTCTATTATCTCTTGATAATAACCTTAAATAAATGCCAAACACAGAGGTCTAAAATTATTTCTGGCCTCATGCATCACTTACGTTCTATGTAATGGCCCTGAGATTGACTAAAAATAATGAAATGTATTCGGTATGCAGGTTTTTTTTCTGTGTGTGTGTGTGTGTGTATTTTATAGACTCTTCCAGAAATTAGTGCATGGATATCCCCTCTGATAACGTTAAAACTTTGCAAAAAATAGAAGGGCCCTTAGTGAGCCAAATTTTTCTTTTAATTTTTATAAAAAAATGCCCTTTGTGTATCTATCTCTTTCCTTGACTTGCCACTTCCAGTTGGTTCCCAAGTCCTCTTAGTTCATCCTCTTATCAATCCTACCTAAAATCCACACCTTCTTTTTTATCCTTATTGTCATCACTTCCCTCCAGGTCTTCATGACCTCTCAACTTTATTTTTGCTACAGCCTCTGCCTGATATTACCTCACTCTGGTCTCGCCATGCTGCTGTTAGAATACTTTTTCTGGCCTGTAAAATTGGGTTTTCATAGTCTTGTTTACTATTCCAAGTTAAAGCTAAACTTCTAAACACTTCAAGTACAACCTTTGGTTGATACTGCTCCTGCCTGGTTCTATAAATGTTTTTCAATGCAGCTCCAGAAACACTCCCCATTTTATAGCTATAATCTTGTAGCTGCTCAAGTCTCCATTCTGTTTCATCCCTGGACTTCTGTTAATTCTGCTTTATCTGTTTAAAATTCCTCTCTCTTCACTGTCTTGCTGCCTAACTCCTAGATATCCATTCAAAGCCAGTAAGTTGTCACCATTTCCAACAAGGCCAGCAATATCCTCCCTGAGCCTAAACTCCTCCTTAGTAATCTCAGTGCCCTATGCATAAATCTATCCCTATGACCCCGTTACTCTCCTTTCTTTTTCCCTGGCTACATTTTAAATTCCTTGTGGGAAGAGACCTTGTCTTTGTATCTTCAGGATTTAGCATAATGTCTTTAAGACCCCTTGTATAAAATTGATGTGTTCAGACAAATTAATGAGGTTGACACGTTGTTAGCAAATAAACAGGAACTTACGACTTCAAATGAATGCTGCCTTTTCTGAAAAAATTTTCTTTTTTAGCCTAAGGTGTAGGCTTAATCTAGTGAGGAAAGTCCTCTTTGGGGACAGCTTTTGGAGCCCATTTACGTGTCACATAAGGAAATTGGGCTCAACTTCATAGGCATGTTGCCATGTGTGACATAAAATTATCCCCCTGCTTCATCACCCGGCTTATTCATCAGAGTTGACTGAATGGCTTCTGATGAGGGTGAATTGTATTTTTGGCAACAAAGGACACAATTTGCTACCACTGAAAATTTTAAAAAGAAAAAAAGGTTCTCACCAGCTCTGAAATCCATTCTAAAGAGGAATCTTGTAATATATGTATTATCACCTGTGGGGACTGTTTGGAAGAATGGGTTTCAATTTTTGCCAAAGAATTGGTTTGCTTATTTCATCAGGCCTGTGACATACACGCAGCATGGGCTTAGTAACAAAAGCACAGATTTTAAAATCGAGTGCTTTAAACTTGATTTCTCACCCTGACTCCTGCCACTTATGTGGCCTTGGATAAGTGATGGACTTTTGGGGGAAAGAATAGAGTTCAGATTATTGTGCTAACATGAGGTCATAGATGCTCAAGAATGTTGGTAATCATTAAATAATAACTTATAAAGTGTATTTTTATTGATTGTTTACTACGCGTTAAACTGAACTAAAATGTTCATAATAATTTTATCATGTAATTCTCTCAAGAAAACCCAATTTATAGATAAGGAAACGGAAGCTCAGAGAGATAAGAACTTTGCTCACAGTGACAGAGCTATTAAAGGGTAGAGAAAATCAAAGTTTTCACTGAAGCAGTTTGACTACTCGGTAGCCTTTTTTTTTTTTTTTTTTTTTGAGACAGAGTCTCACTCTGTCACCCAGGCTGGAGTGCAGTGGCACGATCTCGGCTCACTGCAAGCTCTGCCTCCTGGGTTCATGCCATTCTCCTGCCTCAGCCTCCCAAGTAGCTGGGTCTACAGGTGCCCGCCACCATGCCCAGCTAATTTTTTGTATTTTTTTAGTAGAGACGGAGTTTCACCATGTTAGCCAGGATGGTCTCGATCTCCTGACCTCGTGAACCACCTGCCTCAGCCTCCCAGAGTGCTGGGATTACAGTCGTGAGCCACCGTGCCCGGCCTGACTCTGTAACCAGTATTTTTAAGCACGCTTTCCCCATTTCTTACAAAACTATCACCGCTTCCAGATCCTCTAGCAGTACAGACTCAACATGTTGATGAATTTTAATTTGGGACTATTTATATTTCCTTATCAAGTTATATTCATATAAACACAAGTTTTTGGTGACTCTCATTTACGAACATCTTACTTCAAATACATATAAAATTGAACACACGCAAACACACATGCACACTCCTCTACTCTAGATACTCTTCAAGAGACACTATATAACTCCCCAGGGGCTTGAGTGAGGATCACTTGTGAGGCATCGTTTTGGTGAATGATGTATCTCCAAACAGAGAGAAAATCTTTCTGAAGGGCTGTCACATGTAAGAGGGTGCAGGCAGTTTGTGTGGCCTCCAGAAGTCACAAGGAAGACAAATGGATGGAACTTACAGGAAGACACTATTTCAGTTTATTGTGAGCAGGAAGCAGGTGACAATCAGAGGAGCCCAAGAGCAGGGCAGGCTTCCTTGTAAGGTACAGCACTTCCTGTCACCGATGGCATCCAAACAGAAGGTGAAAGACCCCTGTCAAGGATGCCATAGACAAAACCCCCAGGAGGATGTTGGGTCACATGTCCTGTACAGTTCCTTACAGCCTTCGGGGTTTGAAATTTCATAAAGGATCCAGGACTGTGGTGACCCTAACCCGGCTCAGTGGACCATAGAGCTGCCAGACCAAATACTCCATAACTCAGAGTGAAAGGGGCTCTGGGCAGGTCTCTCAGGACAGGGACAATGCCAGAGATGACATATTAATGTCTTTCCTAGCTTCTGTCTGATACAGAATGTCAGTGCTTAACTCTGTGCACAAAGTACTCATCAAGTAGAAAATCAGTAGTTTATTCTTTCACTGATATTTTTCAACTTAATATTTGCAATATTAATTGGACAATGTCTGCTGGAAAAGGTATCTAAAGATCTGAAAGGCTACTTTTAAATAGGTATTTACAATGCCTGTCATTGTGTACAAGTTGACATATTTAGTGCTCTCAACAATATTTTGGAAATAGGTATTATCTTCATTTTACAGATTTGGAAATGTAGGCTTAGAGAGCTGCATAGTCTTTATAACCAGAATGAGAAATGTCAGGCATGAAGACCACCACAGTGAGAGGAGGAAGATTTATTTGATACAAAGAACATGCATACAGCAATAGAGGACATATCTCCATCTGTAGAAATGGTTTCTCAGGTGTACCCATTCCAGATGCTGGGATCCACAGTTTTGATCTCAGCTTTCCTTACCAATCACTCTCTTGATTCAGTGGTTTCTTGTTTCAGTTCCTTACAGGAAAACTCAATATCTCAGCTACTTAATGTGGGGGGCCAACAGAAGCACCCAAGGAATTATAGGTTTGATCAGTGTGAATTGAAATTCATTTTCAATCTAGTGTGTCACATGGTCCATACTCAGTAGAAAGTGAAATACTCTACTGAAATAATATGTCCCTCATGTCAATAAAAAATCATTATAATTTTTGTGTCAAGAATAATCCAGACTGGATTTCTAGCATTATCTCCTTCCCCCACATTTTTCTCATATTTCCTCAAATAAATTAGGTCATTAGAGTTTGACAGCTTTGCATTTAAACCCGTGTCAGACACCACTCTGTAAAACATAGCAGGTTGGTTTGAGAACTGGTAGGAAATCCATACAATAGAATATTACAAGCAATGAGAAAGAGAATGAATAAACTACTGCTACATGTAACAACATAGATGAGTCACAAGGAATAATGTTGAACAAAAGAAGCCAGGCAGAAAATTTCCAGTTCAATTTGTATAAAACTAAAATACAGTATTTAAAGTAGAATGACAGGTATATTTTGGGGTAGGTATAGGTGAGACTCCAATAGGAACTTTGAGACGTTAGTGATGGTTTTTATTTTTCTTAAACCAGGATTTAAAATTTCACCAAGCCCAACATTTATGCTTATTTGTGAGCTTTTTTTAAAAGGCTATATTTCAATTAAGAGCTTACAAAAAAAAATGCTTAGAAGAAACCACATTCAGACCTCTGCTCTGTTTCACGAAAGCTAGTGATTTGAGAGAGCAGAATAATAAAAGCAGATGAGCATCTTTCTCCTCACTAATATCTTTCTCCCTCCCCATGGGATGAGTTTCTGCAAGTGCTTTCTAGGCAGGTAGTTTCTGACAAAATTAAGAAAGGAAATGAACTTTTGCTGCACTATTACGCTTTTACATACAACAACAATCAAAAAGCTGTTTAAGGAAGGCAGTTCAAACATCAGGCAACTGTGAGATCCTTGCAGTGTCCAAGATTCCATCATCTAGAAACGTGGAAAGTCTGGATTTGCAAAAGATATTTGCACAAGGTCACTCAGCTCAGAAGAGGCTCCCATCCTTTACATTCATGTTTTCAAAAGTGTATTTCTTATAACACTCATGCCATATGATGGCGATGGATGCCACAGATAAAAGGGTTCCAGAGGCAATTTAATGTCAGAAAGGCCATGTTACAGAATGCCTCATAGGCTTTCATATACTGGTTTACCTCTAGTGGACTTGTGTTGAGATCCATTGCATCAGATACCCTTGTCCCCATTAAAATGAACTTTAGTTATCTTGGGAGGCAGAGTGGAGGAAGTTGGGAGCAAGTATAAACACAATGCATAGCTTGGTCCAGATCGCCAAATACCAATTTAATGTACTCAAAATTCTTAAAGGAAAATCTGCCAGGGATTGAAGTCACCATTCATGGAGAATAAGAGTGTTGCCAAAGGAAGAAGGAAAAATGAAAGTTGATAAATCAAGTACTGTGGATTCAAATCCCAACTTTGTCACTTGTGTCTTATACAAACCTTTCCCCCTTCTCCCACAGATATTTGTGTGGTTTGCATCCTCCCTTCTTTCAGAACTCAGCACAAATGCTACTTTCTGAGAGAGCTCTCACCTAAGCCTCTTCTGTAAAATAGAACTCCTATCACTACCCTCTACCCCCTGTCCTGCATTTCATTGTCCATAACACCAATTATCTGTTTATGTGTTTATTGTCTGCCTTTCACAAGAGAGTGAGTTTTATGAAGACAGCCTCTTTATCTTTTTGCATCACAACCATACTCTAGTGTATAGAACTATGCCTGTAGCGTTAGGGCTCAATAAATATTTGAAGCGCCTTTTAAAATAGAAAATATTTGTGCAGATCTAAGATAATGTTAGCATTTACTGTTGGTTATTCTGTCTGTTTATTCTCTCTAGCTCTAGATACATGTCTATTCTTGAACTTTAGCCAGGAAAATTTGCCCTTGAATGTGCCAAAGTGTCCTCTATACCACCTAACCCTGTCCTGAACCTTGAACCTACTCAGCCAGACTACATGGTACCAGCATAGATCAACCTAGAAAACCTGCCCTGGTTTCCAGGAGTCTGGCTTCAGTAAATCACCCTTAGTCCCCTTGGTGTAATCCCAACTCAGAGGCTTTTAGAGTGTTCTTGGGGCTCCTTCCAGCATTCACAGCCACTGGATGCGAATGACTTCTCTGGCAGATAATTATGGGGTATAAACTCTAGAAAAGGTGGTCAAGACTCCATTCCAGAATTCTCCCTGAATCAGCGCCTCTGTAGCCTTTCATAGATTTGGCTAGCCTGTGTTATTCTCAATATGTTCTTCTACTGCCAGAAAACTGATGAAGGAAGCTGTCCTAGGTCCACACTGACTGAGGGCTGCCATTTTCAGGGAGAGTTCCGTACTGTCACTGGCTGAGAGACTATGAGCCTAACATGGGGTTTCAGATTATTCTCAGATAATATTGTTTCTCTTTGGGCTTTGTCTTCAGGGTCCTCCCACCTGAAACTTGCTTGCATGGACCATAACAATTAGCTATAGTGCCCTGAGAGTCATCTGGCCCAGGATGGATTCCTGCCATTTTGGTTAACACATGGATTGGTGGACACATTCCTCTCACCTTTCTTAGGTTTTGACCATAAACAGCATGGTAAATTAATTCTAAATGTAACTGGATTATATTTCCTTCTGGTTTGGGAACTTATATACTTCTTTCAATACTGGAGCCAAGGCTGTAATCCCCACTTTTTGGATTTACTAGGAAGTCTTATCCAAAGCACCTAGTCTCTTCCTGCCCATGAACTTTCTGAGCTCACTGATGTCCACTTGGAGGTGAGAAGTCCAGTGGGAGTGTTCTAACCTCAGTGCCATGGCCCAGTATCAATATGTCAGTGAGGACTTGATAGGAGAGGCAGAACCAACAGGAATAATACATAAAAAAGATTTTTGTAGGGATTTAAACTTATACAATTATGGAAGTTGGTTGAACAGTATTTTTAAGGTTATTGCTTCTGTGTCTGCTACAGGGGTCTGAAATCAGAATGGCAGAAAGTTAAAAAAGAAAGAGGCACATAAAGTAGGGCAGAGCAACGAGAAACTGAAACTTGTGGGAATAAACCAGAACCCATGAAGAGAGACTGGAATCGACATAGGCTGTCACTGTCTTCAGTGATGTGGGTGACCTACAGTAGAAGCTTGCTCTCTTCCTCATGATGTTAAACACACATGGCCCACGAGTCATGAAGGAGGGGATGGTTGAAAGCTGGGAGAGCAGCAAGCCTTGCTGCTATTCCGTGCCAACAAGGTGAGCCAGCAGATAATCAGCAAAGTACCTACCTGGCAAAACAAGCCACCCTACACTGATTTTTGAAGACTTAGAGGAACATGACTGCTCCTTCGTTTCCGGTTTCCAAATTTCATGCAAAGTATCTCCAGTTGCCTGTACTGACATAGAACTATTCAGGGTAGGGAATTACAAGAAACATGCTCCATATTAGTTAAATGGACACAAGGTGAATCCACTATAGTCCACCACTTTTTAGCTTGGCATTCATATCTTTATCATCATCTTTAAAAACTGTATTTAATTTCCAAATAAATACAATAGCAAAATCATGTTTTCCCTGGTCAATATACAAATACCCTTTGTAGAACCTAGGGTACAAACAAGCTGACTCTTTTCCCAAAGGAAGATACAAAATCTGTTTATCCATATTTGGGTAATATATTTATCTTCTAACTGAGTTATATTTATATTTTTGAGATCCTATAGGTTAAATAGTAAGATGTGAGGTTAATTACTTGCAACATAATAAAAAAAATAGGAATTTTTGTCTCTGCCCTGAGTTCTTGGCACAGACCTCCTACAACCTCTGTGCTGGGTGCATGTTTTGTTTTTGACCTTACTTCCTACACAGAATTCCTAATTCCTTGGCATTTCCTGGTAATGGGGGCCACTTTTGTTCTAATGAGATGACTCTGGGTGGGCTCCTGGGTGGAGGCTGGCCAACAGAAAGATGAAGCCATAATTAGAACCTTATAACTTTCAGGTCTACCCCCAACTTTCTCCAGGAAGGAGAGAGGGGCTGGATAATGAGTTAATTATCAATCATGCCTACATAGCAAAGCCTCCATAAAAATTCCTAAGGTACAGGGTTCAAAGAGCTTTTGGGTTGGTGAATAAGAACACATCCACAGGCTGGGGAGGAGGCACACTTCAACTCCAAGGAGTTTGAAACTCCTGTGTTTGATAACCTTCTGAACCATGCCCTGTGAATCTCTTCATCTGGCTGTTCAATTGTGTGCACTAAGATATACTCCATAATAAGTTGACAATAGTGAGAAGGGGGTTGTGGGAACTTCCAATCTATAGCGAGTCAAACAGAAGTTGTGGTTGACTTGGGGACCTGCTACTTCCAATTGGCATCTGAAGTGAAGGCCAGTTTTGTAGGATTGAACTCCTTCTCTGTGGGGCCTGCGCTAACTCCAATTAATGTCTGAATTGAATTGGCCAGTGTGGGGACATGGACACACACACACACACACACACACACACACACACACACAACACAAGTGTTCTGTGTTGTTTTTCTCTCTACTCACTTTTAACATATATTATGTTAAATGGTAGAGAAATGAGAGAATAAAAATTCTATGATATAAACACAAACATATTGGTATGAAAACAACAAATTAACATAACTGTTGCAGATCTCATTTCTACAATTTGTCCCTTGATCATAGTTAGTTTTTATAATTGTCTTCTTCCACTGTCCATGGCACATTCCTTTTGCCTTCAGTAAGCTCCTTGGCTATTTTTGGTTCATTGCCAATAAGGTGACTCAAATCTTCATACCTGAAAAGTGGGTCATTAGCAGCCCTCTCTATTGATATTTTTTATATTACTTTTCTTTGACTTTAATCAAGGGACTTGGGAGTATTCAGTGGACCTCACTCTGCATTCTATACATATTCTTTCTTAACCCCATTGTTAAGATGTCATCCAATGTCCTCTTGATAGGATGAATTATGCATATCTATGCATAACTCCCTTCTTTGTCCGTTTACTTACATAATGGCCAGGGGAAAGCTTAACCTTCAGGCAGGGAAGCCATCTGAGTATCCTGGTAGAAATGACTATCAGTTTAGAACTAAGAATTCTAGACATTTGGAATAGCAGAGCCCAAAGCTGTGCAGACAGGAAGCAAATATTTTACTGTGGATCACTCGGAATGATAGTGAGAGGAGCTACTTCCATTTCTACCCCTTGTTCCCTGAGCTTATGAATATTGACAATAGGAGAAACACACCATTTGTTGGTTGCCAATTTAGGTCTGTACTGCATCCTTCACGATATTATCCCAGCAAGCACCCTGAGTTTTCAAAAGGTCATTTTAGGAGGATTCTTGGAAAATGTCAGAGCAGGAAATACTAGAAATCTGTGTCCCCACTCAGATAATAATTACACTGGTGGAATCTGCCGACACAACTCTTTTGGAACTCTGGAGACAATTGAAGGCTTCCAGGGCAAAGGCTTAAATGGTAAATTGTGGTTAATTTTACTCAATTTCAGTTCTTAGCTAGGCAGTAACTACTGATCTCTCACTCCCAGCCTTGTAACACGAAGCTGTGCACATGTTCCTAGAGCAGCCGACAGCTTCTGGGAGTCGGAGTGGGAAATAAGGACACTTTTATTGCCCCAAATATTGGGGATGTATGTTCTAATCACTAATTGTTATTCCTGATCATAGAGTTTCAGACACAGAGTTGGGGACATGTTGTTGCACCTCCTCTCATTTTTGCAAGCCCCTCCCACTCCAGGTGGTATGTCTTCCAAGAGAATTAAAGGACTATCACCTTTTTATTTCCTCTTCATTTACTTATTTTTTTCTCCCATTGGAAGCCATACATTAAAGATTAGGATATTCAAAGCAGCTCCATATATGGGGGACATTAGAAAGTCACCATGCATGCCCAAGGAAAGGTACAGGGTCAAAAGAATGCCTGAAAAGACCTTAAGTGGATACTCATGGCTTATTCTTGGCACAGATACATCATACAGCAATCAAACCAATCAAAACCCAAGAAAAATCCCCAGAAAACCCCAGGGAAGGGGTAGAATCTCATCTATGGAATTACTACATTATTAGATCCCAATGTCCAGTTTCAACAAAACTGTCACAAGGCATACAAAGAAACAGAAAAGTATATCCCATTCAAAAGAAAAAAAGAAACCAACAGAAAATGTCCCTCAGAAAGGCCTGATGCCAGATCTACTAGACAAAGACATTAAAATAACTGTCTTAAAAATGCTCAAAGGATGAAGGAAATACATGAAGAAAGTCAAGAAAGCAATGTATGAACAAAATGAAGATATCAGTAAGGATACAGAAAACCTTTTTAAAAAGCCAAAAGGAAATTCTGGAGCTGAAATATACAATAACTAAAATAAGAATTCACCAGAAGGATTCAAAAGCAGATTTGATCAGAAAGAATAAAGAATCAGTGAACTTGAAAATAAGATAATGAAAATTATCAAGTCTGAGGAACAGAGAGAAAAAATAATTGCAGAGAATTAAAAAGATTCTAATGGACCTGTGGGGCACCATCAAGCAGACCAGCTTAAACATTATGGGAATCTCATAATGAAAAGAGAAAGGGAAAGGAGTGCAGAGAATATTTGAAGAAATAATGGCTCAAAATATTTCAACTTTGATGGGAGACATGAATATGAACACCCAAAAAGGTCAATAAAGTACTAGTAGTATGAAATCAAAGAGATTCACACCAAAACATGTTAAAACCAAACTGTCAAAAGCAAGAAAAAATCTTAAAAAGCAGCAATAAAAAAGAAACTTGTCACAAACAATAAAATATCCTTAATAAGATTATCAGTAGATTTTACATCAGAAAATTTGGAGAGGCAATATGATGATATATTTGAAGTGCTAAAAGAAAAAAAATGAAAACAACCTCAACTAAGGATCCAGTATCTGGCAAAACCATCCTTCAAAAATAAGAGAGAAATTGACTTCCAGAGACACAAAAGCTGATAGAATTTGTTACCACTAGTCCTGCTCTGTGAAAAATTTTGAAAGGAGTCCTTCCGAGTGAAATGGAATAAATAGAAGCTGTATGAAATAAAAAAATTGAGGAATAAAGATCTCAATAAAGGTAAGCACATGGACAATTATAAGAGCTAGTATTATAACAACATTAATTTATAACTTCACACTTCATTTCTACATAGTTTAAGAGATTAGTGTAGTAACAAAGAGACTATTAGTTTATAAAGATGCAATTTGGTGATATCAACATCCAAAAGGTGCAGGATCAGAGCTGTGAAAGAATAGTTTTGTATGGTAAGCTGTTATAAATTTAAATTAAATTTCTGTAACTTTAGTGTTTCATGTAATACCCATGGAAACATAGAAAAATCTGTAGAATATACACAAAAGGAAATGAGAAAGGAATTAAAACATTTCATTACAGAAAAATCAACTAAACACAAAGAATATGTAGAAGAGAAATTCAAAAAATGACAAACAAAAAAGCTATAAAGTATGGAGAAAACAAAGAGCAAAACAACAGTCCCTTTTTATCAGTAATTATTGTAGTTATAAATGAATTAAATTCTCAGTTAAAAGACATAAATTCACAAAATAGATTTTTAAAAGCCATGATTCAATTATATTCTGTCTACAAGAGACTCACTTTTGATCCAAAGGCAGAAATAAATTGAAAGTAAAAGGATGGAAAAAGGTATTCCATTCAAATGGTAACTGAAACCACAAGGGTAATTGTACTTTTGTTAGACAAAATAGACTTGAAATTAAAAAAAAATTGCAAGAGACAAAGAAGCACATTATATGTTAATAAAGTTTCAATCCAGCAAAAGATATAATTATAAACATTTTTGCACCTAATAACAGAACATCAAAATACATCAGACAACAGACAGAATTGAAGGGAGAAAGAGAAATTTCTACAATAATAGTTGGAGATGTCATTACCCAATTCTTAATAATGAATGCAACAACGAGACAGAAAATAAGTAAGAAAACAGAGGGCTCAACACAATAAGCCAACTAGATCTAACAGACATGTACAAAACACTCTATCCAATAACAACATCATACACATTCTTCTCAATTTCACAGGGAAATTTCCAGGATAGACCAAATGTTAGGCCACAACATAAGACTTAATAGACTTAAAAATAGATATCATACAAAGTATTTTCAACCACAATGAGATAAAATTGGAAGTCAATAATAGAAGTAAAACTGGAAAATTCACAAACTTGTGGAAATTAAACAATACGCTCTTAAAAACCAGTGGATCAAGGAAGAAATAACAAGAAAAAATAGAAACTGCTTTGAGAAAAATTAAAATGAAACACAATATACCAAAACTTATTAGGTGCAGCTAAAGCAGCCATAAATTTCATTTATAGCTGTAAATGCTTACTTTAAAAAACATAAAAGTTCTCAAATCAACAGTCTAACTTTACATCTCAAGGAACAAGAGAAAGAACAAACTAAACCAAAAGCTTGCAGAAAATGGAGATTATAACCAAATTCCACATGTTCTTACTTACAAGTGGGAGCTAAATGATAAGAACACATGCACATGGACACATAGAGGAGAACAGCACACCCTGGGGGCTATTGGAGGGTGGAGGGTGAGAGGAAGGAAAGTATCCGGAAAAAATAACTAATGGGTACTAGGCTTAATACCTGGGTGATGAAAGAATCTGTACAAAAAATCCCCATGACACAAGTTTACCTATGTAACAAACCTGCACATGTACCCCTGAACTTAAAATAAAAGTTAAAATGAATGAACAAATAAATTGGAGATTATAAAAATCAGAACAGAGAAAAAATGAAATATAGAATAGAAGACAATCTATATTTGTCTAGAAGACAATAGAAGTTGGAGACAATCAATGAAATCAAAAGTTCACAGCGACATTGGGGGCTACTAGAGGTGGGAGGGAGGGAAGGAGGGAGGGTCGCAAGGGTTGAAAAACTAACTATTGGGTACTATGCTCACTACCTACCTGGGTGATGGGATCAATCACACCCTAAACTTCAGCATCACACAATATACTCATGTGACATGTACCCCCACCCTGAATCTAAAGTAAGAGTTGAAATTTAAAAAAAAACACAAAAATTTGTTCTTTGAAAATATCAACAAAATTGGCAAACATGCTTGATGAATTAAGAAAAGAAAGTCTCAACCAAAATCTGAAATGAAAATGGGGACATTATTGCTAACTCTACAGAAATGAAAAGAATTATAGGGGAGTACTATGAACAATTGTATACCAAGAAATTTGGTAACATTTGTGAAATAGATGAATTCATAGAAACACAAAACATAAAAAGATTAAATCATGAGAAAATTGATAATCTGAATAAACCTATAACTAGATGGAGATTCAATCAAGTCTCCCAACACAGAAAAGTCCTGGACTTGATGGCTTTACTGGTGAATTCACTAAACATTTAAAGAACTAACAGCAAGCTTTCTCAAACTTTAAAAAAAAATGAAGAGGAGGAAAAACTTTCTAACTTATCCTGTAAATCCAGTATTGCCCTGCTACCAAAGCCAGACAAAGACACTAAAAGAAACTACAGACCAATATCCCTTCTGGACATTGACAAAATCCTCAACAAAATACCATCAAACTGAATTCAACAGCATATTAAACTGATTATACACCGTGTCCAACTGTGTTTATTCCAGGAATCCAAGGATGGTTCAATATAAAAATTTATCAATGTAATACACCACATTAACAGAGTGAAAGGAAAAAAAATATAATTATCTCAATTGATGTAGAAAAAGCTTTTGACAAAATTGAACACCATTTTATGTTAAAACATTCAATAAACTAGGAGTAGAAGAAAACTATCTTAACGTAACAAAAGCTAAATATGAAAAACCAACAGCAAATATCATGTTCAATGGTAAAAGACTGAAAGCTTTTCCTCTAAGATCAGGAACATCCCTGCAAGCAAGAATGCCTGCTTGCAGCACTTCTATTCAACATGGCTTTGGAAATTCTATCCAGGTCAATGAGGCAATGAAAAGAAATAAAAGGCAACAAAATTGGAAAGGAAGAAGTTAAATTGTCATGTGTGTTTGCAGATGATTGATCTTATATATAAAAAACCCTAGAGATTTCCTACAAAAAATGTAAAATTAATAAACAATTTCAGCAAAGTAGCAGGATACAAAGTTAACACACAAAAATTAGTAGCATTCCTACATACAAAGAATGAACAATCTGCAAAGAAAATTAAGAAAATTATTTCGTATATAGTAGCATCAAAAAGAATAAAATAATTCAGAATTAATTTAAACAAGGGGATAGAAAACCTGTACAATGACAACTATAATACATTGTTGAAAGAATTAAAGAATACATAAATAAGTGGAAATGCACCTTATGTTCAAGGATCGGAAGAAGACTTAATATTGTTAAGATATCAATATCATTCAAAGCAACCTACATATTCAATGTGATTCCCATCAAATTTCCAATGACTTTTTTTGCAGAATAGAAAAATCCATCCTATAATGTATATGGAATCTCAATGAATGTCAAATAGCCAAAACAATCTTGAAAATGAACAAAACTAAACAACTCACACTTACAACAAAGTTACAGTACTCAAAACAGTGTGATATTGGGATAAAAACAGACATATACACAAAGAAACATAATAGAGAGCCCAGAAATAAACCTTAATATATATGATAAAATAATTTTGACAAAGGTGGCAAGACCATTCAGTGGTTAAAGGGGAATCTTTAAACAAATGGTTCTAGGAAAGCTGGATATCTTAATGCGAAAGATAGAAGTTGGACCTGTACTTAACACTGTATAAAAAAATTAACTCAAAATAGATCAAAGACCTAAGTGTAACACTTAAATCTATAAAATTCTTAGAAGAAAACATAGGATGATAGATTTACAGTGTTAGATTTTGCAGTGATTTCTTGGATACGGCAACAAAGGCACATGAAACAACCAAAAAAATTGATGAGTTACATTTTATGAAAAATTTTAAAAATTGTATGTCAAAAGACACTGTTAACAAAGTAAGAATGCAAACTATATGAGAAAATATTTTTAAGTATGTATTTGCTAAGGGATTAATATTAAGAATATATAGAAAACTTTTAGCTTTCAACAAGAAACAAACAACCTGATTAAAAAATGAGCAAAGAACTTGAATAGACATTTCTGCAAAGAAGTTATGCAAATGGCCTATAAACATAAGAAAAAACACTCAACATCCCTAATTATTAGGAAAAGGCAAGTCAGAACTACAATGAGATACCACCTCATACCTCATACCTACGAGGAAGGCTACTATTGAAAAAACAAACAAAAAAAAACAAGTATTGGTGAAGATATGAATGAACTGGAATCCTTGTGTACCATTAGTGGGAAAGTAAAATGGTACAGCTGTGTGGAAAACAGTGTTATGTTTTCTCAAAAAAATTAAAAAATAGAATTGCCATCTGATACAGCAATTCAGCCCTGGGTATAGCTATCTAAAAGAATTGAAAGCGGGATTGCTAAAAGATATTTTTAGATGTCTCTTCATAATAGCTAAAAGATAGACGCAATCTAAGCATTCATCAAGAGATGAATGGCTAAACCAAATGTGATATATACATCCAATGGACTATATTCAGCTTTAAAATGAAAAATATTCTGACAATATAGATTAACTTTGAAGACATTATTGTAAATAAAATAAGCCAATCACAAAAATACAAATACTGAATGATTCTATTAATATGAGGTACTTAGAATACTCAAAATCATAGAGAGAAAATAGAATGATGGTTGTAGGGCTTTTTGGGGTGGGATGGAATAGGGAGTTATTGTTTAATGGGTATAGTGTTTCAGTTTTGCAAGATGAAAAGAGTTCTCGAGATGGTTTTTGGTGATGATTGCACAATAATATGAATGTACTTATTACCACTAAACCGTATAGTTAAAAAAGGTTAAAATGGTAAATTTCTTGTTTTTTATATTTTATAACAATAAAAAATTAAGAAAAATATAGTCACTCCACTGTTCCTTTGGGTCAGCTACTTCAGGGTGATAAAGAATAAGGTAACTCTTAGGGAGTTCATAAGAATGAGCCAATGCCACAGTTTATTTGGTCTCAAATGAGTTCCTCAGTCAAAAGCAATGCTGTGTGTGATGCCATAATGACAAATAAGGATGGTGAGTTTGGAAGAAGCATTGTAGGTAGTGAGAAAGGCAAATCTGTATCCCGGGTAAATGTATCTCCAGTGGTAGCAAAGATCTGCTTAAGCCTAATCTTTATACTACTTCCATTTGATGAACGAATGCTGCTCTGCATACCTACATTCATGACTGTGTGGGTCAGAAAAGATCAAGTTCATGATGGGTTACTCAGATTGCATGGTAACTTAGTGGCCCATGGTTAAATATTCAGTCCTCACTAAGGGTGAGTAGCAAGCCTGAAGCTGCTTTTTAAAAGGAGAACATTTATCTGCAGTGTATGGCAAAGCTTTGCTTCTAAATCCCAAGGCTCTGTGCTAAGATTCACATATAGAAGTCTGACAAAGACTCTTTACAGCATTCTTATCTGCCACAGACACTTCAAGCGCTATACGATCTTCCAGGTCTCATGGACTAAGTGGCAGAGGAGCTTGCATGGCTCTCTATACCTGTTGCAGAGCCTTTCTTGTTCTGGGCCTTTGTCCTGGCAGCTTCTTAGGTTGCTTGATGAATGGAATAGCATGCTCAAAGTATATATGACCTCCAAAATCCAAAAAGACACATAAGCGTTGTAGTTCTTAATTAATGGTAAGAGGGGCAGGAGGCACAACTTATTCTTCTTGGAAGGCATATCTTGATATACCACAGACCACTAGACACCTAGAAATTTCATTTGAGGTGGCAGGTTCCTAAATTTTTGTAGGATTTATTTCCTATCTTCTGGAACACATCTACTTCCAAGATAAATAACCAACATTTACTTAGCAATTATTAGGTATCCACATTCATTATCTCATTTAATTTTCTCAGCTACTCTGAGGGAAGGACTGTTAGTATCTTCATTTTTCTGTATAAGGAAAATAAGTCTCATTAAGACTGTGTCTTGGCCCAAAGCTGTGAAGCTAGTAATTCTTCACGTGGTTAGAATCTGATAAACTCTGATGTTAGAAGCTAAAATAGCTGCCAGGTCTGAGATCAGAGAAAAACTACCATTTATTCCCTCTATACTACCATCTCCTAGTAATAATATAATAGACCTGCATCATGTACTATGGAAGAGAAAGGCTATCAAAGACTCTAAGGACTAGATTATGACATAGGGCTGGGAGGTTAGTCCTGGGCAGACTAATAAAGTTTATTGTTGGCCTTATCAGCTAAAGGTCACTGTTTTTGATGGCCTCTACTAATTAGTATAGACAAAAAGCATTTATGAGATCAACTGCTGCATACAAGTTACCAGGGGATGTGTTGATTTGCTCCAACAATAAAACAACATACACAGCTGAAGTTACCACAAGATTAAATTTTCAATAATCCACTGTCATTCTCCAAGATCAATTGGTCTTTTGCATAGGCAAGTTGAGTGGGGACATAGAAGGCATCACTGCTCCTGCATCTTTCAATCCTTGATAGTGATATTAATCTCTGCAATTCCTCCAGGAACGTGGTATTAAATTTGGTTTACTATTTTGGCAGGAGGAGATGGTGATAATCATTTTCACTTGACTTTTCCTATAATAATAGCCCATATTCTACAGGTTAGAGAGCCAATGTGGGGATTCTGCTAGATGCTAGATATACCTATGCTAATTATGTACTCTAAAACAGGGGAAATAAACACAGGGTGTGATTGGTGACCCATTGGGTCCACTGTAAGTCAGAACTCAGTGAAGTTCCATTAATCATTCTACCTTCCTCACTATTCTGATTAGTAGACCAAAGCAGCATTCTGGGCATCTGGGAATTAAAGTAAGTTCATACCTGTTTCAGTAATCTTTGAAAAGTGTGATTAGTTTCTTTTCTCCAGTGCAATTTCCCCTGGTAAATAACTAAGCCACAAGTTCTTTTGGGAAAGGTTAAGAGAAAGACTTGTAGTGTAAATTTTGGCAATGTGGCAGCGTCTTTCCTCAATGGGGCTCAGCTGCCCCTTCATTCAAGAGGTAATGCACCCGTGAATTGGCCCCAAACTGGGAATTGGTTGATGGGCCATGACTCCATTTTGTACTCATTCAAGTCAGACTTTTGCTTCTCAGACCTAGAGAGTTTTACTAAGACATATCAAGTAAGATTTTAATAGTCTGTCCATTGATTTCAGTTCTAGGGACACCATTATCAACTTAACCAAAAATAAATCTGATCACTGCTTTGGATCTGCAGTTGGTTAAAACACCCACTACCACCTGGATCTTGGTGATAAAGTACCATCACTTGGCCCTGCTACTCTTGGAGCCCATCAGTCCCAGTGGATTTGGGGAACTTCATTTCAATGGCAATAATTTTCACTGTCAGTCCTCATGTAGTTAATGGATCTATCAGAGAGTTCTTCAAGGATGCAAGGGGACTGCTCATCAATATATTTTTCATAGCATTAGTGAAGAATGAGTCCTCTAGGGGATATACTAACAAGGCATGTTTTTACTTAATAACATCCACTCTAGCATCCTAGTTTTCTTAAGCCAATAGATATTTTCCTTTACAATATGCCAGGGGATTTTTAGCATTTCCATTTAACATAATTTAGGTCAATTTCATGTCCAGCTTTTAGTCAACCTAGCAAACAAGCTAGTAGGATTATTCCCAGATCCTCAGTCCAATATTATATATATTCCTTTCACCATTATCCAACAGCCTTAGGATCTATTCCCACACACATGGATTCTATTTATATAAATTGGAAAAATCATGCAATTATTTTGGTGTGTACTATAATTTTTTATAGGTCCTTTTGTGAACCTCATCTTCTGGGAGTCACTTGCTAGGATGTGATACTGGTTATAGCTGAGGAAGAGAAAAACCGTGGTGGAGATATGTCCTTAGGAGAATCAGAAGCCCTTGTAAGGAAAGAACATGGCAGGAAAACCAGTATAAGTTCACAAGAAAGAAGAAACGATCCTCCTCAAACAGGAAGGAAAGCTGCTTTTACTGAAAAAAATTTAGGCCAACCATGAATCTCATTTCTGTCACTACATCTTTCTGTTTTCTGGACATTTCATACAAAGGGATCATATATGTGGTCTTTTGTGACAAGATTCTTTCACTTAGCATAATGTTTTAAAGGCAAATTCATGCTGTAGCATGCGTCAGTACTTCATTCCTTTTAATGGCTGAATAATTTTCCATTGTTTATTTCAATAATAAGCCACATTTTGTTTATGCATTTGTCAGTTGATAGACATTTGGGTTGTTTCCACCTTTTATCTATAGTGAATAATGTTGCTATGAACATCCATGTACAAGTTTTTGTACACATTTGCCTATGTTTTGTTTGTATTTATCTTGGGTAGATATCTAAGAATAGAATTTCTGGGTCCTGTATTTCTACTAATCCTAAGAGATAACTAGTACAATCTCTGTTTCACTGAAAAAGAAACTGGGATTCAGAGGAGTTGGACTGCTAGTCATGTCGCAGAGCAAATAGAAAGTGAGATTAACACTCAGCGCTCTTTAAGTCCAGAGCTCACATTTCTCTATGCTTCTCTGCTGGGTGAGAGCACTGCAGATGCATCAACATTCATGCATGCCATGCAGACAACCCACAAGTGCAGACACACACAGTGATTGGAATGACATCAGATGTGGTTTAAGACAAGCCTGACTTCATCATAACTATTCTCTCCCTCACACCAACTCCCCTGCTAGAAATACACTTTCTAGCTGAATCTACCTCCCTTCTATGGATTTTTCATCTTTGTTTTTAGGGAGCAGAGTCAGATTTACTTTTCATATGAACTAGCCTTAGGGGCTATGCAGGGGAAGACACAACAGCATCCCTAATATTGGAATCTCTCTCTAAGACCTACAGGAATGAACACCCCTGAATATTGCCAGATATAGAGGCTTCCAATAGACCATCAGGCAACTCATTCCCCAGAGTCCCCATCTTTATTTCTCAGTATGGGCCACTACCTCTGTGCATACATGTAAGGGACTGAGGACTCTTTACCTGAAATATAACTCTTTAGGATTGACTACCATCTCCCCAACTAAGATGCAGAAATCATACAAACTTATGTATATTTTGTAAGAGCAAGCAGTTCAAAATTGGATTACCTTTCCACATTTTCATACAAAGTAGATTAATGTGCCCCTGTCTTTATTACATTTTCCACCCTTGTCATTTGTGATTAGGCCAACACTGTGAAGATGTATTATGGATTGGCTAAATGGGAACATTAAAACATTGGCTATATATCAGAGAAGCTCAAGCAAGTTGATGTGTGCTACACACACCCTTGGTAAAATATGTCTGAAATATTTCACGTCTTTTTGGACAGAGAAATTTTTCTACAGCACCAAAAGTAATAGGAAGTACAGAAGAAAGAAAAGAGAAGACATAGGGGAAAATACTAACTTTTGTTCTAGATAATGGAAGAGGTCTATTCTCCCTGCAATAATTTTGATATGGAATTTCTCATAGATGAGGCTCTTAAACCAAAATCATCACCTGGGTTTGGAGAAGAAGGAAAAACATGGGCTATAACCAAGATTCCTAGTTCACATAAGGAAGGGTGTTTGACCAGGCCCCCATCTTATTGTCTTGAGCTTATATTCCATCTCTTCTAGGTCATTCCTGCCCTGAGAGTACCTTAACGGCTCAGGCTTCTTATAGAAACAGCTAAACAGCTGAGAGGCAAATCGTGTATCTGTACAGGTGTCATCTCATTCTTAGTCACATGATGGATAATCTCCAGGCTGGAAGGCTCAGGCAATGGGATTAAGCAGTTCTGGTAGGAGAAAGAAGGGATCATGGCCAAAAAAATCTATTTCTAAGAAGAGGACAATCCTATTGCTCCCCTAAAAAGACTCCTACCTGTAACACACTCTTGCCTCTACTTCATAACTTCTTTCCCAAACATGTTCATGAGAGTAATTCTGGACAGCTCTGAGGCCTGCAGCTGCAGTACCTTTCCATGACAGGTTGCCCAGGCTGCAGAGCCAGTCTCTTTCTGGTCAGCTGTCACCTCTTCTGCTCTTCTGGCTCCCCTGGTGCCTTGAAGGGAAAAATAATGAATAGATCAGAGAAAGTCTCCCACTTCTTGACACTTTTTTCACCTTGCAAACATAATTCCATGAATATATCTTAGCCTGGGCCCATGGTCTGGGTCTGTGTAGGATGGTATAAATGCATCAGAAAAGGGCTTCTCTTTTTAATATTAGCATGGTTAGAGGAAAGCAAAGAGAGCGCAAAGCAGCTTCAAATTAAGCCAGGTTTTGTTGATGATGTTATGATGATCCTATATCTCTTATTCTAGTCTGGTTTTTTCCAGTTGTACTTTGTGATTGAATGCAGTGGAAACAACAGAGGTAGGGTCCTTATGCTAAAGAAATTTGTGGAGGAGCCAGACAAATAATACCAATAAATTGTTAGTTATGAAGAAGAAAATAAAACAGGGAGATATAATACAGTGAATTGAAGAGGCCAGTTTATCAATAGCAGAGAGGTGACTTTTGATGTAAATCTCAGCTAGATCCGAAATTGACTGGAGGGTTTGGGGCAGCAACCTGGTGGAGCCAACATTCTGAACATGAGTCCTCAGATAGAAGTCATGGTGGGCAAGGCTGAAGAACCTTGTTTCTAATGTATGGTAGGAATTGCAATTTCTCAAACATCAGTTGCCATTTCAATAGAGAATGAAAGAATTTGCTAAAAGCCTACTTGAAATATAGGATTGAATAAGGAATTCTGCACTTTAACCTGTTTTCCAACTGCATCTTTGAGAAGAGGACACAGAGATTCAATGATGAATTCAACAAATGTTGATTGAAACAGAAACAGTCACTATGGCATAGAGTTTTTAATGAGATGAAAGACACTGACAGTGAAATAATGGCAGAAGTATAGTTGACACTGTGAAATGTACTATAAAGGAAAATGAGAGTGTAGTCTAGGAATAGGTAAGAGGGGCATTAATTCTTATGTGGAATCTCAAGGAAGTCTTCCCCAAAGGATGTCATTTGAACTGACAGACTGGAGTTTGTGTGTTAACAAGGTGTTTTGCATAGGGTGGAGGTAGGGAGCTTCCTGGCAGAAGAAACTCTAAATGCAAAGATCTTGTGGCAGAAAGGAACAGGTTCTGTTTAGGAGCCTGGGAAAAGCTCGGACCGGGAGAGCACCAGATGGGTCTGGTGATGGAAGCAAGTGCTAGAATATAAAGAATCCTGTAGATGATGTGAAGTTAATTGATTTTTCATCCTAAGAACGATGGCAAGTTCTTGAAGAATTTTCACCTGGGGAGCCATAAGTTCATTTGCAGTTTTAAAAGGTCGTTCTGCGCAAGAGAAGAGTAGATATAGAAAAACAAATTAGGAGGCTATCTAGAGAGTTCAAATAAGAAATCATAGTGCCTTAGACTAATATGATAGCAGGACAGAAATGAAGATATTAATGATATATTTACAGGGTTAAACCCACAGGACTTGCTAATGTACCAGAATATAGCAAGAAAGATGTATCAAGGTTGATCCTTGATATGGTTAGGCTTTGTGTTCCCACCTGAGTCTCATCTTGAATTGTAATCCCCATAATCCCCAGGTGTCAAGGGAGCGACCAGGTGGAGGTAATTGAATCATGGGGGCAGTTTCCTCCACGCTGTTCTCGTGATAGTGAGTGAGTTCTCATGAGATCTGATAGTTTTATAAGGGGCTATCTCCCTTTGCTTGGCACTTCCTCCTTTCACCTTGCGAAGAAGGTGTCTTGTTTCCCGTTCAGCCTTCTGCCGTGATTGTAACTTTCCTGAGGCCTCGCCAGCCATGCTGAACTGTGAGTCAATTAAACCTCTTTCATTTATAAATTACCCAGTCTTGGGCAGTTCTTTATAGCAGTTTAAAAAATGGACTAATACAATCTGTAAGTGTTTTTAATTTTTTCTAATTTTTTTTAAACATTTTAATACAGTTGCAATGGTAGTAGTTCCTTTCCCTTGATAGAGAATAGGCAATGATAAATTTGGTGAAAGGAGACAAGCTGCATATTCTGTTGACAAATAATGGCTGTGAATTATTCTTAACTGGCTCAAGGATGAGAAGAGGAGGAATTGTGTGGGTGAGGAAGATTCTTTATGCAGCCAAAATAAACAACTTCAGACACAGGAGAAGCTAGGGGAGATTTCTGAAAATATTGTATTCTAAGTTCCAGAAGAAAATTGTAGGAAACTGTCTTTCTCCTTAGAGTGCGAGAGTATTCTTTATAAAATAGAAATTAAAACTATAAGGAGAGGTAGTAATGTGACGTGCTGGAGAGGTAACAGGTAACATCTTATGAAAAGAGA
The DNA here is from genome assembly GCF_000001405.40 of Homo sapiens. NCBI lineage: Eukaryota > Metazoa > Chordata > Mammalia > Primates > Hominidae > Homo > Homo sapiens. The sequence continues at coordinate 21,691,603 of NC_000002.12, forward strand.
GATGAGGGAAGTTCTCAGGAAGTCTAAGAGCACAAAGAGGGTGATGAGGCAGAGGAGGTAGGTGTGATGATGCAGCAATTTAATCTGTCATGTAGAAAAACAATTTAGATATCTCAAAATTGGCTTGGCATGGTGGCTCACGCCTGTAATCCCAGCACTTTGGGAGGCTGAGGCGGGCAGATCACTTGAGGTCAGGAGTTCGAGACCTGCCTGGCCAACATGGTAAAACCTCATCACTACTGAAAAAAGAAATACAAAAATTAGCCTGGCATGATGGCACACACCGGTAATCCCAGCTTCTCAGGAGGCTGGGGCACCAGAATGGCTTGAACCTGGGAGGCGGAGGTTGCAGTGAGCAAAGATCGCATCACTGCACTCCAGCCTGGGTGACAGTGAGACTCCATCAATAAATAAATAAATAAATAAATAAATCTCAAAATGCAAAGCCATAGGGTAACAAAATTAAAAAAAAAAACATAGTGGGCAGGGAATGGCAACACAAGACTAATTAATTACCAAACAGGTAGCAGGGAGGGGAAAATACAAACATATTTTTTTCAACTGAAGAAAGACCTACGTAGATTGAAGAGTCTCACAACATTACAGGCATGATCAGCTAAATAAAATACCTACAAACTTACTAACAAAAATTTGAATTCATTAGCGGGGAAAAGACAAAACTAGAAATATAGTGTCTTAAAGTAATGAAATTATTGAATTTTTGCTCTTTAACACCAACAGTCAGATAATAGATGAGAATTGATAGGATTTTGAAGAAACATTTTTGTAAATTGAGATTATTTTATCCAGACTCCTTGATTTTTGTTTTATGTAGAAAGGTATAGGAAAACATTTTTAGATATGCAAAGGCTCAGATCTTCTATCAGCCAAGTACACTCAAAACATAAAGGTGTCTGTGTGTACATACCCATGCTCTTGAAGATATAGCCTTCTGATAAGGAGATGAAGAAGACATAGAAGCCAAAAGTAAGAAATGCAGATGTTACAAAGAGGTGGAAGAAAACCCATTTCAAATAAAAGTAAAAATATTTTATAACTAGTTATAAAACTAAGTCTAAACTTTAAAAAACATTGTCAAATCAATGATATATTAAAAATGACATATTTATAAATTTCAAGATTACACAGACAAAAAGAGAGAGAAGTATAGGAGAAAAGAAGATTCCATGTTATGAAAGGTTGGGGAACTAAAAACATTTTATTTTCTCTTACCGCCAATATCAAACATATGATTGAAACGACAGGGCTTGATTTTATTTTCCTGTCTCTCTTTTTGGAATAGGACAAACACTGCCCTTCTCTCCATTATGTTCTTCTATTTAGATCCTAAATTATGCTTCCAGGAAGTTCTTGACTCTGACTCGTATTGAGCTATACTGACAAAAGGTGAAAGTAGAAAGTTAGACAAATAAAATTTATACACTGTGAAGACCAGCACGATGACAAGACCTTTATAATATTAATACATTATTTTCATATAAACTGTAGTAAAGAGAGGCCCCATGACCTCATCCTTGTTCTGATGTTGTTTCTTAGCTAAAATATAAAAAATTGCATTTATACTATTTTAATTTATTCTTGTTAATTTCAGCCTAGTGCTCCCCCCCTCCATCAGGGCTCCCTTATCAGACTTTGGCTCCATCCCTCTTAGATTTGAACCATCTGGAGATTTGGCCAACAGCCACTTCTGCCTTCATCTAAACTCCTGTTTGGCAAACTTTAATCATTCAGAGACCAAAGTCACAATTTTCACACAATTTTTGACATACTTTGACATATTAACATGCAATAAATTTAATATTTTTCTTTAAATAATTTATATTTACATAAATTTATTTTAAAAGAAATTTTATAGCATAGATTTTATGTAAATCTCTATATAAACTCATTTTGGTCTGTGTGTCAAAACTCTCATCTGAGCCACCCACCAATAGTGCAATAGTACCTTTTAGGAACACACTGATTGTAGTCGTCAATATAATGGTAGGTAGGACCACAATGAAATGTGTATCTCATTTGTGATTCCACTTTCTGCTCTAAGGCCAGAGCTCCAGATAATATAGAAAGCCACAATTTAAGGCCATTGACTGATATAGTGAAGGCTGTGTGAAAGTTCTCTCACTCAGAGACATTTTTTAGTCTTGACATATTTGCATTGGCTTTAAAAAGTTCATATTATTTTACATAGTTTATTTGGCTCTTAGCATCTGATGCTAAAATTATTTCAGCTGAGCTTATATCTGACTCTACATTTCAATGGTCTTTCTGGAGACTATAAATTTTCTGATTTAGGTGCAAATATGCTTGGAGCAAATCATCTGAATCTATTTGCATTTTTAGTGAAAAATTCCAGACTCAATGATTTATCAAATTCAGTAGTGGTTTTGACCAATATGTGTATCACTCCATGCAATTAAAACAAGATAAAATATAATTTAATTTGTCATGCCAGTGGGGCATGAAAGAGTATTTTTTCTTTGTTTTAAATTCTGCCTTTGTCACCCCAAAATATCCCATATACATTAGGCTACAAGTTATTATTCAGATAAGATGATTAGTACAGTTTCTTTAAAATGGATTTAAATCTTTGGTAAGGATAGAAATGGTAATATTCAATGCAGAGATCAAAATGACAAGAGATAGTCATCTTCATTCTCCAGGGCACCATCTGATCACCAGCTGGGGTCAGAAAGAAATTTGTCTGGCCAAAGAAAAAGTGTCATATAATTCATTCCAATTGGTGCCTAATGCAAACACTTTCCTCTCTCAGACCCAGCAGGTGTGGGCGACTCTTAACGATGCATCATCCTATTTTTCTACAGTAATTTTTCTCCATTATATTATCATTCCTTCCTTTATCTACTCCCTGTCTCAGTGCCTCTTTCTTTCATTACTTTCCTTCTTCATGCTCTGCCCTTTTCCTCTCCCCCTTAACTAATGAATTGGATATGCATTTGGGCTTCAGAACTCTCACTCTCAGAAGCTCTGTCTGTCCCTTCACCTCTAATGGTGTGTTAGGCACCCACATCATCCTGCCATCATTTATTCTGTCCAGCTATTAATTCGCAGTAAAATTCTAGTGTCAATTGCAGAAGCCAGCTGCTGTTTGGACAATACTGTCAATGAGAGTGTAAAATGCAAAATGACAAGTTCCATTCTACCTAATGGGAGGTGTCAGCTTAAACAGGGTTTTCAATGTCTTGAAGTAGAGGTCAATTTCAGGAAAAATGTTTTCTCATAGGAATCCTTATGTTCATGGAACCTAAAGATAAATAGGCAAGGTTCTATATATGTGCTACAGAAATTTAAATCCATATTGAGGTAGACTATCTCATGTTTCATCACATGCCTTACATGGTACTGAGACATTTGGAATGTTATATTTAAGATTCCATTTCAAATATCATTGACGAAGACCAGCAGGCTAGTAGTAGTAATAGTGGTAGCAGCAGTAGTAGTAATATATTAATGCATTAACTTTTTTCTTTTGCATAGCTTCTTCAACTTTTAACATGTTATGTTTAGTAAACCTGTATCCAGTAAGCATTTATTATATGCTTGGGATCATGCTAGGTGAATTACATACTATTGCCAGTTTTTTATTTTTTGTACATAGAAAATGGCTGAACATTAGGCATTTCATGTGAGTCGACAATTTCCTATTTAATTGTCACAACAAAGCTGCGAGGTAATTATTAGTCCTATTCTATGTATGAAGAAACTAAGGATCAGAGTGTCTTTTGTGGAGTATGTAGCAGAGTAGGGCTTCAGACTCCAATTATGCATGTTTTCCTTACCCCTACACAAAGCGTTCCTCCAGTCTTCTTTTGTTACTCATAACATTTCTGTTTGTTAAACTAAAGTTTCAGGAAAGAACTCAGGATCCTTAATTTGCTGCTAATCCAGCACCGTGCAGATTGTGAACATTGAATGTGAACTCCTTTCATTGTTTCTGAACCCAGGATATTTCTTTTTTCTCCTCTTAAAAACATAGTTTCTAGGCACATATGTTCTAACAACAGGAAGTTTACTAGAGCCATTATGCTCTTACTTTAGGAATTCCTATGAGACAGGGACTATGGCGAGAACAAGGGTGCTTGGTCCCTTTGTACCAAGCATGCTTGTGGCAGACAGGCCACAGGTATACTTGCCTCACCTTTGATGATATGGCCCACAGCAAGGAAGACACCTCCAGCACAGAGGGCCTTTCATCAGTGAGCAAAGGTAGTACCTGGAGAACAAATCCTTCAAGACTGGTAAAGCTCTGTGTTCTTCCCAGATGGCCTCCCTGGAACCAAGCTGGGTGTTCTCCTGGCCAGTGAAATCTCTGGAGCTTACAAGCCATCAGCAAAGGGAAAATTGGAAAACCTTTTCACTGAAGCATTCACATACTACTGAAGCTCAGTTATGTACAGCTCGAACCAGGACTTGAACCTACCAGTGTCCAGAAACCATGCCCTTAGAGTTGGAGTAGTCAAAGTGGAGAAAAGACAAGTCCATATATCTAATTATTCACCTTCTAGAAAAAGCAGTCTTATTAAAATCTCTTGTATTATTTAGCCCAAGGTCCTAGGCCAAACAACTACCATTGTTCCACACTGCACCTGTTCTTCATCCTGGGTGGATTAGGAACTCTTAGTTTGCCATCATCTCCTTTCATGACAGTCTCAATCATTGCAGCCAAACACTTTAGAACCATTCGTGATTTTTGTAGCATACTCAGTTTTCCAAATGAATAATAAATATAATTCTGTCAACTATTTCGGGAACCCATGTATTATTTTTATTTTTTTTTCTGAGGGAAATAAGAAATCTATTTGCTTTTGCACAGTATATGGCAGTCAGAAGTACCTCATTCATTCACTTTTTATTCATTTGATGCATGAAAAAAAGGCATTAAATGTATTTCAGTGTGTCACCTCAAATTCTGTGCAGCGAACAGTGATGAATATGCTTGGTTCCTCAGCTGGGGTACTGTTTCATTTTTTTGTGACAATATCATTTGACAAGGCGATTCTGCATTGGCAATATTGTATCATATTTTTGTCTGCATGTAAATTATGTTGACAGTCTCATAAACATAAATTGGCAGGCATACTGTCCCAGAGCAATGTTTGTTAAAATACACTAATGGAATAGAATAAATAAATTTTTCCAAAGCATTAATAACACAGTGGTGTGTCACTGCATTGTGCAAGAAGTTCTATGGGATATGGTACTGTCTATGCTAAATTAATATCACATATATTTCTTTATATATATTTTATTCAATCTCATGCTTATGTTTATAGATTAGTCATTCCATTTCACAGAGCTTTGTATAATAGCGGTCACCCACTTGTGATATTTTTAAAGAAGTCAGCATCGTCTGTGGCAGATATCTATAATGGAACATGTGTAAGGTGCAATTCATGTCTGACATTGTTATTACGTTGCTTTGTTCCAGATAGGGCTTCCTCTTTCTCACCCGCCAACCCAAGGACACACACTTAGCAGGCCTCTATCCTGATGGAGCAGGCAGATTCTACAGTGGGCAGATCTAAAGCAGTGCCAAACAACTGGGCACATACTTCATTTATATTTTTGGACCACAAAGATAATTTCCCTTCCAGATGTCTGTGGACAGACAGGATGGGGCACTGGCAAAAGTATGAACTATTCCATACTTTTTCACTTCTTTAACTTACTAGAAATGTGACCTTTGGTAAAACCCAAAATCTCTTTGAGCCTCAATTACTGTATAACTGGAATAATCATGAATAAGGATAGATATCAACATTGAGATGTTGATTGTATTGCAATTGATGTGGTGTCTGGTTCATAACAGGCAAGGAGTATCTTAAAAGAATGAATGGAGGAAGATAAAATGAGAGAAAGACAGAAACAAATACAATGAATTTAGCAATTTTATTTGATCAGATGATGGAAAATTTATATGCTGTGTCTCCAAACATATAAATGCTTGGAGCATAGAGAAATGGATAAAATTTTGAATTTTTGCAGAGTCAAGTCAGAGTGTACATTGGATTCCACATGTACCCTGACTCATCTGCCTCCTGGATGGTAGCTCATGTACCCCTCTTTGGGTTTTCTAAATATCATCTTCCCTATTAACAGAGACCTGACACAGCTGTGACTTCTGATATTTGGGGAGAAAAGCTGAAGAACTAGGATTTTAAGATGAAAATTATAGGAAAGCAGTAGGGTTGGTCCCTAAGGGCCATGCCTGTGATCAGACTTGGGCCAGAATACTTGTATGGTTGTTGCCTCTAATATCTGTTGCTTCAGCTTTATCTGGTCTCTCTCAGCTTTTACCCTGAGACTTTACAGAAGCACATTGTAAACTATTCATCTAGAAGAAAACATGTTTGTACATCAGTGCTAAACAAAGAAGGTTAGCGAACACAGGTCTTGCATCAGATGCATAAAACCAAACCATGTAAATATATAGGTCATACAAGAGGAGAAAGTTCATATTTAATACACGGCTTCACTATAAGATATTATGTTTAAAGTTCAGTAACCACACTGATTAACCACAAAGATACGGTCCACCATATTGCTGTTATACCAGAGAGATTTTATCAAAGAGGTAAAATGTAAGAATTATTTATATGATTTAAGCAATAGTCAAGGCAAGAAATTATGAATGCTTAGACTAATATGGCAGCTATAGGTGAGAAAGTGAATGTGGGGACAGGTGGTGCTTCATAAAACTAAGAGGCAGGATTTTGTCAAATTAAACAGCAGGTATTATTGAGCACCTAATACTTATGAAACATTATGCTGGACTTATGAATAAACAGGAGAAGTTTAACATACCTTCTGTAGTTGTCAAGAGTTTACAATTCTATTGATGATATAAGCCTCACATATAAGCCAGTTCTTTATATATGTATATATGGTGGTCTCTTTTTATAGTTTGAGCCCAAAGCATTATTTAAAATCAATTTTTATTTTAAGTTCCAGGTACATGTGCAGGATGCACAGGTTTGTTACATAAGTAAATGTGTGCCATGGTAGTTTGCTTCACAGATCAACCCATCGCCCAGGTATTAAGCCCACACCTAATAGCTGTTCTTCCTGATTCTCTCCAAGAACCAGAGCTCAGCTCACTAATCCAAGTTAGCATGGCTTCTCAGATTCTGCCTCTTTAGGGCCTAGGTATCCATTTCTCAAGAGTGTTGCCCTCTGAATACTCACAGATGAATATTCCACAAGAATTGTCCTTGGCCTAAGGTAGTTGCCTTGTTCAAAGTTACTCTGTCTCTCTAGGGGCAATATAAATTCAATGACTGCTCTATGGGGAGATGCAGAGTCCCAGCCCCCTTGCCTCCATTGAGTACAGCTCTGAAGGTCTATTCTAGCTATAGAGCTCTCTCTGTGGGACTGGCTACTGTCCCTGTTGCAATGCATCACCATTCAACATAGCCCTGTGCCCAATCTTACTTTCCTCCCTTGGTGATACTTGTTTTTCCTGAGAGCACTCCCCAATAAACCACCTGCACACAAACCTGCAGCTTGGACTCTGTTTTCTGGGAAACCTGATCTACCTGCCACAGCTTGTGTGTTTTAAGGTTCAAAGAGCAGTACACATAATAAATTCTGTAGAAATATTGAAGAAGAGAGAGTATACATTTTGTATAATTGAACATCTCGTTATTTCCCAAACCTTGCAAAAATGCTTGTTGCATGCATGGTCAGCCCAATATACTTTTGCTAGATGAATGGCTTGTGTGCTCAGGAAAACTGGCTAGATGTTGACAGGCAGGAGGGAAAATAACTATATAGTGATTGACTTGGGTAGCAGAAAGAATATTGTTATCATTCTCAAAAATAAAGAATTGAACCAAGGGAGGAAATGTGAACTGATTGTTCCTTGTTGTGTTGAGTCTCAGGATGTTTAATAGACTGGAATTTTGGAACTGAATTAAGTGTAAGTTCAGTGTTCATTTTTCCTTTTGATATCTGACTCTGTTTCTGAAGGAATAGAGAAAAAGTCACTTATTGGTCCCAGCACTTGTACTCTGAGGTACTATAAACCTTTCTCTCCTAGAGAGTCCTAAAGAAGAATTTTCAAAGGCAATTTATCAAATATATATATATATATATTTGAAAATACCAAATATATATATGTGTGTGTGTTTATACTTTCGTAAAAACTTCCTAGAGCACAACTTGTAGTTAAGATGTGCTAACTCTTTGATATAATTCTGCATTTAGAAATGTATTCTAAGAAAGTAATTCAGATATATGAAAGAATGAACCTCAAATTGATTATTAAAACAGTATTTAATCATAGCAAACAACTGATAACATAAATGCATTAGATAATTTAGATTATTTTTATTATTGATAATTTAACAATGCCATCGATTGCTTCCCTCAAATGCAATATTATATGTTCATTAAATCAATGCTAGTTGAATATTTATCAATTTGGAAGAATAGTCACATACAATTTTAGAAGGTATAAAGTATTAGCTATAGTATAATATTCTTTTTTGCTTACAAAATAAACGTGTATTTGGTACATATGTGAGTATGTATGTGTATATGTATTTGTATATATGTACACATACATGTATCTGTGTCTTTCTCTTCATATATATACACACATATATATAAATAACCTTCATATATACACACACACATATATATACACACATATATACATATATATACATATATATACGTATATATATACACATATATACGTATATATATATACACATATATATATAACTAACCTTCATATATACACACACACATATATACACACATATATACATATATATACATATATACATATATATACACATATATATACACATATATATATATACACATATATATATATATATATATATATACACACACACATATATATATATAACTTTCAAGGACTCAGAGGAAATACACCAAAGTGTAATAGTGGTTGTTCAGTAGAGAGATTGTGAAAATTCTTTTTAATTTATATTTTTCTGTTTTACTATTGTCTTTCTGTCCTCCCTCTTACATTTTTAGTTTCCTCTCTATCCAGATTAAGTGCCTTGATCTATTACTTTAGCTATTTTCTTGTCAATATGCTAAACTAACTTGTGATTATCATATGTGGCTGGCAGAGTCTCAACTGTGATTGACTCTAACTGTAGAAATTTGTACAGTTCTATGTCCAACTCTGGGCTGCTGATAACAGCTCAGCAAATTATACCCAGGTCAACTGGGAATGCTAAAAATAGAGGGTTAGACTCATGTGCACCATACAAACATAACTGCTTATTTACCCATTCAGTTCTCACTCTCATTGCCCCCAGCAACCATTTCAAACTCCCTCTCTTGTCTTCAAATTTCTAACCACCTTGACCTCCATGTTCTGTTACCTTTCTCAATCTTCAAGTAGTCAACCTGAGCTTCAGATTTATCTAGAAAATAGAACACATTGGATGGGAAACTTCTCATTCTACAAATGACCCAAGTCTATATGTCTGCCTCTTCCTATTCCCTTTTTCTTTTCAGTTCCACTCATTACAATGGAAGTCCAATTCTTCCAGTTCCTTGGATCCATTCCTTCACATGTAATAAAGGCCAGGGCACCACATGCTGCCCCCTTTTAACTTCACTTCCTGTATATCCTTCCCCAGTAGCTCTTTACCACCACTTTTCTTGCCTTAATTTTATCATCCTGTTGACATTTTAAAAAATATTTTTGTGTTATAGGAAATATCTTAGATTTATACAAGGTTAAGTATGTAATGTTTTCTTGTGGGTAAAAAAATAGACAGTAACATATGAAAACATCCATGTACAAATTATTTTAACCTGCTGCCGTATTTGCTTCTGGTTATTAAAAATGCAAAATAAAACCCCAAATATTAGGAATCCTGTCAAAGAATTTTCTAATTTCCTTCTTCCCAGAGATAACTATTATCCTGAAGTTTGTGTGCATTATTCCTGCTTGTATTTTTTATACTTCTAGGACACATAGTCTATCCATTAAAAGCTATATAGTATTTATGGTTTTTAAATTAACTCTTAATTAAAACTAATTAAGAGTGGCAATAATGTATGCATCATTCTACTAGCTGTTTATTTTCTTACTCTTCATTATTTCTGGAATCTATCTAATTTATACATGTAGATCTTGTTAATTTTAATTGTTGCACAGTATTTCATGGTATGCATATACTGTAATTTATTGATCCATTTCCACACTTACGGGCATTTAAGTTTGTTAGAGTGTTCAGCTATTACAAACAACGATGCAGTCAGTAACATTGGACATGTCTCCCTGTCAACATAAGTACAAATTTCTCCTTTGAGTAGATTTTGCTTATTTACAGATAAAATTACAATAAAAGTGTGGGATTTTTTTCTGCATAAACCTGTTATTTTTCTGTCATCTTATTTATATTCTCCATTTATCTTTTTTCCCTCCTACTTTTCCTCCAGTTTCCCTGACTGACTTTCTTAATTCATTTTTCTTCTCCAGGTTGATTTGAAAGTTATGCATGCTATTTCTATTGTTTAGTGATTATTCTTACATTTTAACAAATTTATTTTATGTATCTTGAACATGAGTCCTAGGCTATTCCATATCTCTCTTCCTTCCCACAAAATAAGAGTTTTAAGCATAACTTCTGTCCAAAAATTCCACCTCACCCAGTGCTTTTTTTCGACTGTTGTTTTGATGATGACAGCTTTTGAATCTCATCAGTATAACCTTGCATGGATTATGCTTAAATAAACAGTAAAATTACTTTCTCTTTTAGAGTATGCAAGATGAACATCTACCATGCAAAAGTTAGGACATGGAAACAGTGGAAAATCCCATTGGTTAAAAAGTCTGGCTGCATTTTTTTGATGCCCAACTACTGACAGTTTTAAAGCCTTATCCTTTCTTTTTCCCTTCTGCCCCGTATCTGGGCAAGCTGATTAAAAAAAAAAAAAAAAAAACAAACCCTGGCACTCCCTCCCTTGTCTCCAGAGGGAGGTTCATATCACATAATCCCTTTTCCTTGTGTGGGAACCTTTACCCAAGACCAACCCCCTAACCACAATAAAAATTTTGAGCCTAAGGATGGGGCATTTTCTAGCTCTCAAGTCATTTTCAGATCTGTTTGAGGGCTTCCTGCTTGCACTAGAAAGCCTTTTTATGTGAATGTTAAGTCTTTTTATATCCTCTTGTTGCAAGTGTGGCATCAACAGTCTAGACACAAAGCAAATTTGGGATGGGGGTCCATCCTGTTTCTCTGGAGTGGTGACAACACCATACAAATCCAACTGAGCCACATCAAATTTTCCTTCCCAATAATTCCTTAGAAATTACACCGGAAATTCTCACATCACCTCATCTTCTACTTTTAGGTCAGAGCTAAACACAGTCTGCATATTCTAAGACAAACACCGGTGATAGATAAAACTGACACTGCTCAAAGATTATAACAAAAACAAAGTTCAGGCTTTATTATAAATATAAAAATAATGGAAAAAGAACATGAGGTTTCAGAAGTAAAAGGGTACCATTGGTATAGATTACTGTAAATAAAAGATAAGAACATTCTGTAAACCATTATTCATGAAGCTAATTCTGTGAAAATACGAGAAATATATGAGAAGTTCATGAAATCAAAAGATGATTTATGAGGAATGAATGGGCTAAAATGAAAAGGAAACAGATTGGGATGAAAGGTTCCAGCTGAGATGATGATGATAAACAACTATACCAATGATACCAACACAAATGATGCTGCAATAGACTGAATGTTTGTTTCTTCTCAGAATGTATCCTTTGGGTTTAAATCCTAATCTCCAATGTAATGGCATTTAGGAGGTGGAGCCTTTTGGAAGTGATTAGGTTATGAATTACCTCCCTCATGAATGGGATGAGTGCCTTTATGAAAGTGACCTAAGAGCTCTCCAGCACCTTCCAGTATGTAAGGACACAGGGAGAGGATAGCAGTTTGCAACCTGGAAAATGTCCCTTACCAGAACCTGATCATGCTGATACCCTGATCTTGAACTTCCAGCCTCCAGAACTGTGATACATAAGTTTCTGTTCTTTATAAGCCACACAGTCTATGATACCTTGTTACAGCAGCTGAACTAAGGCAGATACTAAGAATCATGCTCACTATTTAGTTTGATTACTATAAAGAGTTCGAGATGATCCAATAAATAACATCCTCCTTCTCCATTCAAGTTTGAGTTTATTGTTAAAATATGTAAATGCATGTATTAATATTAATACAAATAGGTCAAAATATTGTGCTTCTTACAGGTAAAACTGATAACTGAGGGTGTAGCTTTCCTTTACAGGCAAGGATGTACTAATACTAATGCTGAATCTCAAAATTAGGCTTCCCTAGTCAATGGTGCAGGCCCAGGAAGACCTGGAAACATGGAGCAATTAACCCACTTATGCCCAGTGTTTCATTATTGGAATGCTAAGCATGTGGGAGTTATTTATATCCTACTGCTCAGGGTCATCACCAAGGTTTGATTTTTCACTCATGTAAAAATTCAAAAAATTGCAACCTCAGGCATAAATGGGTTAAGGGGGAGGTAGTTCTAAACAGACAACTTGCAAAAAGAAGAGAAGTAGGATGAGCATGCCAAACTCCTTATATCTAACTCATAAGTAAGGTGCATGCCTCCTTTTCGCAAAAGATAGGAGTGACTGAAGGCCTGGAAGGAGGCCAGTGTTATAAGTATTGGTGATTCTCCATAGGAGACTAAACCTTAGTAATACACTTTTTCCCAGTTACCCCCATCATGCCCATAGGCGATCAGAGGTGTAAACATTCCACTTACAGGAAGAGGTCAACAGTTGGGAAAGTCATATTCATACTTCATGACACCACTCATCCAATAATAAACATGGTTCTTTGGGTATTTTCCTGAGTTTATCAGTGGGAAATATGAAATTTTGTTCCTATGAGGAACTAAAATGCTTCCGAAAAATACACCAATTGATGAAGTCAAAATCTATTCTGTACACAAAGCTTAATTTCTATAATCTTTCTATCCAAACTAGACATAACTAGGTTTCCCAACATAGTCTATCAGAGGTTCTGCAGAATAATAAACACGGAAATTATATACAGATTTTTAAAATTTGAACATACTTTTCAATATCAAATTCTGAGCAAGGAATTAAATTTCAAATATTAAACCCCCTTGCATTTTACAACTCGAAATAAAGATGGAAATTTTTTTAAAATTTTCCTATTGAGAAACAATTCCAAAGAAATTTAAATTTGAAATTTCTCCTAGAGAAAGGAGTATGGTACAGTGAAGAAGAACATGGACTTCAGGGTCAGGATACCTGGGTTTTAATATCTGTTCTATCACTTAATTGATATAAAATTTGCTTAATTGGTAAAAATTAAATGCTTCTCTGCTTTTCTCAATAAAATGAAGAAAATTTTATTCTTGATTTTAGTATGAGGATTAAATGAATGAATATAAATCAGATTGTTAGTGCAGTGCCTGACATTCACACTATGTGATGGTGAGTAATATTGCAGTATTCTCCTAAATGTATCATGCTGCTCAATTTAAGCTAGAATAATTCTCGTGTACTAGATAAAGCCTAGATGCTTTCAGATTTGTATTAGTTCAATTCCATTCTCCTATGTGTTTCGTTTTTTTTAATTGTGGGAGATAAAAACATAACATTGATCTCAAATAATAGAATTATGAAAACAAGGTAATTCCTGCCTCCTAGAGCAATTATCTCCATGTAAAACATTTTTCTAGGACCCCTTTCAGTAAACCATTTGTGTTTTGAATCAAATACATCCTGCCTCCCTTCAACCCTTGGTGTCCCACTATTTCCTACCATCTAGGATGTCAAAAAGTTGATTTCAGTTGCCTATAATTCATAGGAAAACTAAGGAGATGCTTTTTAACAAGATGTTACTTTTGGCTAATGCTGGTCACTTGTTACCAATTGCTCTACCAATGCTTGCATGAGTAACTAGATCTGCTACTTGAACGGATTTCCAGAGAACTTCAATATCACCAGCTGCTCACTATTAACTTCTCATATATTTTAAATGCCTTAATTCCTGAGATCCTTATATATGTGTCAAATTTTAGCTCATCTATGTCCTGTGGTAAGCTCAATTGGAAAAAAATTCTCAATAGAAGCTGATTTTGGCATTATGTATTTACCATATTCTCCTAACATCTCCTTTCTGTGAAAGTAGCATTTAAGGTATTGAGACTTTATAGTAAAGTCAGAAATTTGCAATAATAGCATTTCCAGTCACCAGGGCTTGTGTGAGGTGCATTTGTTTTTCAGTTAATATATTCTAAACTTCTTCAATTTTATTTTCATTTCGGAGTGCAGAATTGAGGGTGGGTTACATCTAGTGACACAGCATCTGTAATCCTATGCCACACTCTTCCACTGCCTCTTGCTATAAATTTCCTTGACCTGAAGACACTTGAGTTATCTCCTGGGGAATCTTCTCACATATACTATATTAAACCAGACCACAGCTGACTTGATACTAGCTATTGGGCGTGACTTTTCAGTCTCTGGAAAAGACACAAAAAGTCCACTAACAATCTTTCCTTGGCCCTGGATGCAGAATGGAATTTGGCAACTGGTCTAGGACTATCAAGCTAGTTCTGATCCTAACAATATATAGCTAGAACCTCGCTAGTTTCAGAAGAATATGAAAAGCTCAGTTATTTTGTTAAAAGAAGCAATCTTTATTACATAAATTCAAGCAAATGTGTGCAAATTAGCCTGTAATACCAGACCCACTGCATCTATATAGTTTGAGGTCAAGCTTCACTAGGACCGTTAGGCTACATAAGGTTGTCTGGACCCACTGGAGCCCAAAGTTTGCTTGTTAGTATCCTCGCAGGCCACCAACTTTGTTAGCACTTGTCTGGTTCCCATTATCTACCTAGTTCCCTGTGCCTTTCCTGAACCTGTACATCCTATTCAAGTTTGCTAAGTACTATGTTGTTTTGCTTAGGCAGGAGCACTCAATCTTTTGGCTTCCCTGAGCCACACTGGAGGAAGAATTGTCTTGGGCCACACATAAAATACACTGACACTAATAATAGCTAATGAGCTAAAAATAAAAATCACAAAAAACTCATAATCTTTTAAGAAAGTTTATATATTTGTTTTGGGCTGAATGAAAGCCATCCGGGGCACATGTGGCCAGAGGGCCATGGGTTGGACAAGCTTGGCTTAGAAGCTGGTGTATATAGTTCCACTGCTACAGAAACAACCATTTGTCCTTAGGTAAAAAAGTTGCAGTGACAAACCAAAGTCAAAAATTCCCTCAAACGTCTGATGAATGGATAAACAAAATATTGTATATTTACACACTTGAATATGATTCAGCCATAAAAAGAATGAAGACATGATTTATTCTAGAACATAGATGAACCTAAAAATATTATGCTAAGTGAAAGAAGACACAAGACCACATATTGTATGATTCGATTTGTATTAAGCGTCCAAAATAGGAAACTACACAGGGACAGCAAGTAGATTAGTGGTTGTCACAGCTGGGGACAGGGTGAATTAGGAATGACTGCCAATAGGTACAAGGACGTCTTTCTGGGCTGATGGAGATGTTTTAGAATTAGTGGTAAGGAGTGCACAACTTTGTGAATACATAAAAAGCATTGAATTGAAAAAATTTTATGATATGAGAATTGCATCAATAGAAAGAAGAAAGGCTTAAAACTATATAACACTGCTAAAAACCTCCTAAATTGATGAGTCACATGAAAAACAAGTGTGCAAGTTTACAGAAGCTTTTTCATCAAGCATCTGGCATTCTCCATGGGTTAAGCCATTCCCCAGCATGTCAGCAAGGCATAAAGCATCAATGATTACCTCAAGCTCAGAGAAATTCTCTGCTATAAGTTAGGCATATCCAAAGAACAAGATAGCAAGGTATGCTATATGAGATATCATCCTTACTCATTGTTATTCAAATGTCAGCAAGAACCATAAACAACACAATAAAGACGACAAATACTTGAACATGGAATAGAAAGTAGGGTTATGTTCCCATGAAACAAACCATTTCTTCTCATTTTGGAGCGCCTAGTTTACCCTTTGAAGCATTAAACTCAGAGTTCAGAAGCATTTACAGAATTTACTCTTGAAGTATTAAATATATGCAGCTATCGTGAAAAATAAAGGAAAATTCCCACGTGGCCATTGCCTAGCATAGCACCTTCCCAGCTGACAGCCATGCACATCAGCTGTGCCATAAGCATCAAACTCCAGACATAATTTGTATCTCTCAGAATGCATTCCAAATTCTTTTCTTTAAGATGCCCAGCCTAATAAACCAGATACTGGGAATTTAAGGTGACCCAACAGACACACTGCTTTTTTTTTTTTTTTTCCACCTGAGTTTGAACCAAGGAAGAGGTAGTGGAAGAAACAGTAAGTAAATCAGAGTAACATATTTATTAAAAAGTTAAACTTTGACCAAGAGCAATCAAGAAAACGTGTCTGCTCTCTTCAAGTAGGCAAGGAAATTCCTAAAGGAAGCGAGAAAAGGGGATGAGAATTTATCCCTCACCTATCCTTCAGGCAACTGGAAGGGAGGAAAAAAGATGGAGAGGAGAGGGATGGAAGTATTTCTCCATTGGGTGCGTGGTTAAATGGAAGAAAACATCAGCAGTGGGGTGGTATGTCCTTTCTTCCAACATTATAACATGCTTAGTTTCAAGTGTTTTTTACATTTTGTTCAATTTAATCCTGACAACAAACCCATGAGGCAGGCACATTTACTGTGTCCATTTTACAGATGAGATAACTGAAGCTCGGCCAGGGCAAATTATTTGCAAGAGGTCACACAGAACAGCTGGTCTCTACCACCAAAGTGGTCTCTTTCGAGATAAAATTAAAAAACAAAAACAAAAAACCCCACTAAACAGATCCCGGGGGAAAGAAAGGAGTAAAATTAAATCCTCATAAGAAAGAATAAAGTACAGAACTTCCACTACAAAAAACAGCAAATCAGTGTTGTATAGGTAAACATCGGAATGAAGAAAAAGGTCACAGGAATGAATATGAAGAAAGAAAAGAATAGATAGGAGAGCAAAGACCAGAGAGCTAGTATATGAATAATAGGGGTCCCCAGAGAGGAAAGCAGAACAAATGAAGCTGAAACAACAAAATCACAGCAGAATATTTTCCTATCCTGTAAAAATAAATTGCAGTTTTCAGATAGTCTTGCCATGTTTTGAAGCAAAAATACATTTAATAACACTGAGCACTTAATATATTGCTAGAAAGTTATTATATATATTGTTTAGTACTTTGATAAGAAAGAGATAGCAAAATATAGTCCTTTCCCTCAAGGGGCTAAAAATCTATTGGAAAAAGCACATAAAAATATAATTGTTTAATATATGGCAAAGTCAGTGATGGACATAATGTAGGTTTGTTGTAGCACCAAAGCAAGGCAAAGTATTGGTTAAGGGCTTAATGTGTCTATGGGAGCAGGCATCCAAGACAATATGAGATGTAAATAATGAATTATGTCCAAGCACTAGATGAAGGGAGATGGAAAGCATAGCTATTCAAGACAGCAGGACAATGTGGAGGAATATATAATAATAACCAGATAATATTCTATGGGAAAATACACAGTTTCTTGTTTCTGGATCAAAGAAATCCAAGGTGGGAGTTAAGAAGCTCAGGGCCAGAAAAGTGGGCAAAAGTGAGTTTCAACGACTGTGTGTGCCATGTTGTGAAGTAGACACTTTATTCTGAGGTGATAGAACATCACTGAAGAGTTTTTTGTAGGGTAAGGAAAATTTTCATGTGACATGAAGCACTGTTTACTTCTCAGAGGGTGTACTAGAGAAAAGGAGACTAGTTGAAAGGCTATTGCCAAAGTCTGGGTAAGAAATAACAAAGACTCAGGATAGAAGGGAGTAGTTACAGCAGAAAACAGGATGGATGTGAGAAATGTTCAGCTGTGAAAATAGAATTAAGTAACTCATGGATAGGCTGAAGGGTAAAATGGGTAAGAAGGGCTCAGTGATGCCTTCTGTATTTCTAGCTTGATGACTGTGTTATGAGGCTGGAACATGATGAACAGAGAAATAAAATGTTGCATATTAAATTTGTAATCCTCCCTAAGAGGAGATGCAAAGTTATTGTTTTATTCTTAATTTTGATAATTACTTAAATATAGGTTTGACTGCCATTTAACAAAATCTGAAACTCGTCACTAGGAGAATTACATGTTTGTCAACATGCCAAAATCCCATAGAAAATTATTTAAAAATATAGCCCATGTGGTCAAATGCTGAGCCAGATGAAAGAGCAAAGTGGCAAAAACAAAACAGAAAAAGCACACCCAGAAAGCGTGAAACAGGATTACAGAATTTAATATAGGCAGAGTTTTGAAAATAAATGTACTTTAAACACATTCATTAAAAAAAAAAAACTCTCAAATTGGGTTAACAATATACAACTTCTTGGATATTATGGCAGCAGCCTGGTCATGCCTGACTTACCTTTCATCACTTTCAGTTAAACACTCCAAAGTGTCCAGCCCGAGATAAAAGCTGACAGCAACACAGCTGGTTGATGAAAAGAGAAGCCCATATTCAAATTCCAGTACTAAGCCCGCTGGCAGGACGTTTGATGAGATGTTCCCAGAAGCACAAACTTGACCAGAGAACAGTCTTCTCTCTGGAAAGAAATTGATTGTGAAAGTCACCTTCCACCTTCCACTACCTGGCTGTCTCCCATCCCACATCCTGGACACGTTTCAATGTACTCTATCTCAGTCAAGGGCACAGCGATCTATCCCGTTTTTATACCTGGCTCCTAACACTTTCTGTATTAGTCTGTTATCATGCTGCTAATAAAGACATACCAAACACTGGGTAATTAATAAAGGAAAGAGGTTTAATTGACTCACAGTTTAGCATGGCTGTGGAGACCTCAGGAAACTTACCAATATGGTGGAAAGGGAAGCAAACATGTCCTTCTTAACAGGAGTGCAGGGGAACTACCCTTTATAAAACCATCAGATCTCGTGAGACTTACTCACTGTCATGAGAACAGCACAGGAACCTCATGATTCCATTACTTCCCATCAGGTCCCTCCCACAACACGTGGGGATTATGGGAGCTACAATTCAAGATGAGATCTAGGTGACGAACCAACCAAATCATATCACTGTCCCTTTCCTCATGCCTGCTATCCAATCTGTCAGCAGTTCTGAGTATTTTACCTCCAAACTCTTTTACATTTGATTGCTTTTCTTTCTACCACCATCACCATAGTCCAAGCTACTTTCACTCCTGAACTTCTTAAGCAATTCCCCCACAATCTATTTCTTGCTCTTTCATTTATAAAGGTTTTCCTGGAGTGCCAGAGTTACATTACACGTGCATGTCACTCTTTTTGGCACCATAGAGACCAAAGTACTGAACAAGACAAGATCCCTGGTCTGAAAGAGCCTACGTTTTAGTTAGATTGACAGCTAGTGTCTGCTTGTATTACCTTTCACCAGGTAAGCTACTTGCTTTGGGGAAAACCAAACAGGATAAAGGCTGGGTCCTTCGTGAAGAAAAGATCTTGGAGAAAGTAGAGTACAGAGACCATAGCCGAAGTCTTGGTAGAATATGGTTGGCTTGAATGGGGCTATCACTGGGAGTCCTGGAAAATACAAAGCAGCAAAAAAGCAGAAAAAAAAATCACTAAAATTACACAAAATTTACTGGTAGCAAGCACAATGCATCGTATACATATTGTTTTCTTTGAAAATTTTGATCTAACAACTTTTGATCTAACACTCTTTGGAAACTAAAAAAGCAATACTCACACATGTGTAAATATTAGATAGTTAAGAATATTCTTTGCAGCACTACTGCTGCAAGATATGGTAAGAAAAGGATTAGCTCAGAATATATTTGCAGAGAAGAGCCATGGAATTTGAACTGGACGTGGAATGTGAGGGAAAGAGGACTCCTTATTGAATGAAAGAAAGGTGATACTAAATTGGTGGAGCTATTTGTTTGAAGTGTGAGACTTGGGGAAGAAGTCTGCTGCACAAGTGGAAATAATTCAATGGTATTCTTGGACTTTTTTTGATAATAGAGAGATACTAATATTTTGTACATATCAACTTTTGTAGAAAGTCTTAAAATGTCTTAATCCACTTTACACTTTATTAAGTGGAGTCTAATGAAGAAATTGAGTATTTATTTTCTGCCTGATGCTCTTGCGAGTCATTATCGTTGTTCTGAATATCAGTTGTCACTATTCAGGCCTCTGACATGAGATATGCAAGATGAAGGAGATTCTAGACAAATAGAAGAACCACAGTGCTTGATTTCAAAATTTTCAAAGAAAACAGTATGTATACGGTGCACTGTGCTTGCTACCAGTAAATTGTGTAATTTTAGTGATTTTTATTCTGCTTTTTTGCTACTTTGCATTTTCCAGGACTCCCAATGATAGCAAAATCTGTGGGTCCTCAAGTCCCTTGTGTAAAATGATGTGGTATTTGCATAAACTATGTCATCATCTCATATATTCTAAGTCATCTCAAGATTACTTAAAATACCTAATACAATTTAAATGCTGGGTAAATAGTTGTTATACTGTATTGTTTCAGGAGTAATGACAAGAAAAAATGTCTGCACATGTTCAGACAGATACAACCATCCATATTTCTTCTGAATATTTTCAGTTCACAAATCGGTTGACTCCAAATAGATGTGGAACCCATGGATACCAATTGACTATTACAGTGTAATAATTTTGTGTGCTTATTCAGCTATAATATGTAAATACATTTTTCACTTTTTAAGATCCAGGTACTACTTAAATATTCAGAATCAAGATATGAAAGTGCTTCCTAAGACTCTCCTTCAGATACCCATGTCAGGAAATTCAGATGTTCACATTTCACTGTATATTGTTCTGGGGATTTTCCCCATGCCTTCAAATATGTCTATCATGTCTTCTTAAGTTTTTCTAAATATCTGTATCTACACAAATATATATCTTTTCAATGAGCTCACATGATATGTACCATTTTAAAACTTGCATTTTTCATTTGATAATGTCTGAATTTACTTCAGCATTGAAACATATAGTTATCCTTAATTATTAAATAAATAAAAAATAAAGCAAAATAGAACAAAATCTGCCTCATATTTCATAGAATGGGTTAAACATCATTTATGTAAACATTTCTCCATTGATTTATAGTTCTTTGTTTCCTATTTACTAGTAAAAGTAAAAGTAGTGCTGCAAAGACTATTCTTAACTATACAATATTTGTACATATGTGAGTACTGATTTTTAGTTTCCAAAGAGTGTTAGATCAAAAGGTATGCACACTTTCAATTATTGCCGATACAGAGTTGACCTTCTTAAAGAATTACCAATGTAAAGTCTTATCATTAGTGCATAAAAGTGTTCCTTTCTTCAAAGCTGATCAGTAGTTGATTATCATAGGTTAGTTTTGGGGGTTTTATTTGTTTGGTTTTAGAGCATATGTGATGGAAAGTGTAAGAGAGAGCAGAAATCTAGATTCCCGTAAACCCCTTCAGGGTCTTCAAACCTTCTATTTGACATAGGCAGAGATTTTTCTCCTTCTTAAATAAAGTGCTTTACAAATAGAGTTTTGAAGCTCCCTTTCTAACCAGATTGCTTTTTATATTGCCTTTTCAACTCAATAGTTATTTAAAAGACAGTGTAAAACTTCCCAAGTTAATAGATTCTATGGTAGTCTAATTTATGTTTAATTTGTATTTTTTTGGCTGCCTGCACTTGAAGAATATGGTTATAATTTACTGAGCTCTTTTTTAAGCCATCATATATGAGAATATGTTTCATGTGTATTTGAATGAATGTTTATTTTCCATTTGCAGGGTATGGTGCTTTATTTTTCAGGGTAAGACTTTCTATTTGCAATGTGGTTGTTTTATTTAATTCTTGATACCCTTATTTGCTTTTATTTATCTATTTGTTTTGTCCAATACAGGGAGATGACACTAAATTCTTCAGTAATGATTATGGATTTCTCATTCTCGTGTTTTTTAATGAGATTGTTTTAAATATTTCAAAGCTATAATAGCAATTTTAAAATATCTTAAAATATTATAGCTTTTTGGGTGAATCCATTTGTACGTTTTATTTTGTCTAGTTTACAACCCTGTATTCCTTTGCATTCTATTTAATCTTATTTTAACTCTATCATATCATCTTTTCTTCCCTCATCTTTTGCTTGGCATATCTTTCTCTAAACCTTCATTTTCAAGTCATTGAAGTATCTACATATGATCTTTAAAAAAAATCTTGCTTGACCTTTAAATCAGAAGATTTGTATCTTCAGTTATTTTTTGATGCTTTCTTATTCTACTTTCTGTTCTCTTTAGCTGGATTTTCTGAATCTCTCCTTCATGTCTCTTAAATTTCACTCTCAGACTTTCCACCTACTTTTCCTTGTATGCATAATTGGAGAATTGAGGCGAATCCCTTGGCTATATCTTCCCAGTAACTAATTTTCTTTGTATCTATGTACATTCTGCTTCTTAGCCTGAGTGTCGTGACTCTGATTATGGAAGTCATGTATCGTGATACCCCAATGTACACCAATTTGACTGTCAAGAATTCTCAAAACTCAGCCAAAGAATACTGCTTTGCATTTGAATTGTGTAGACTTCATGAGTATCTGATTACCATAAAAGGATCTCAGCTTTATAGTTGTTGTGTGTTATATTTTGTGCTTGACTAAGAATACTCAAATTTTCACAATTTACTGCAATGGTAATTTCATGCAGAATGATCATTATAATAAAAAACTCTTTGAAAGTGTGATATAATTTGTATTATTTCTATTGATTCATTTTGTACTTTAGAAATTGATTCAGATTTTTAATGAAAGGGTGACTTCACAAACGTTGGGTAAAATGTTTTTTGATTGTTTGTTTTAGAGACAGAGCCCTCCCTCTGTCACCCAGGATGGAGTGCAGTGGCATAATCATAGCTCACTGCAACCTCAAATTCCTTACCTCAAATGATCCTCCTGCCTCAGCCTCCTGAGTAGCTGCCATTGTGCTCCATGGGTCAAATGTTTTGTTAGTATTTCTTAAGTGTACAGTATCTCGTATCTACACAAGTGTTTATTGACAGTAAGTAACCAGCTAGATTATAGACTAAAAATACAAGAAAAATGCATTGTTATTTTATGTATCAATAGCTAATACAAATTATCAAAGCAATTATCTCCACTTTAATATAATTTGGTGCTATTTTAGTATAAAAGTACGTCAAATTGGGTGCTCAGGAATACATACTTTTTTCACTATTGAAACAAAAAATTTCCTAAAGATTTTTAAAATAAAGTCGATTACTCCCCAAATATGGGAAAAGACATCTCTGGTTGTCTTCTCACCTTAGCTTTTATGATTCTTGCTCTGCCATTGAGGGATAATTTTGAAATGCCTGGTCTGTCTTCAGTGACTCCAAGGGAAGGAGGAGCTTGCCAGAGATAGTGGATAGTGATCACCCGACTACCTGGTATGCTGACAACTCTCTGGAAATTAGGACCTTTCGGGGACAATGCTCTGTCCCTGGAGCACCATTCTTCTTGCCTTGGTAAAGATGGAAATCTCTCTGCATCCCACTGCTGCACGCAATCCAGAAAAATTCAGTTGGCTTGGCTGTCGAGTTCTCCAAATCATCCCCTATTCAAGTTCTATCCTTCCCTTACTGCCCAGGATTCTATTAAGCCTGGATTTAAAGTTCCTCAGAACTGCCCTTGACTCTGCAACAGTATTCCTCTATGAGTTTGGCTATATTTTCTCTGGGTTTGCTTTTACATAGATCCAATTCTGCTTGTCATCTATCTCTTACGAAGTCCTGGAACTTTCTGGTTTGTTAATAGCACTGGGATAGTAATTTATTTTAGAAGCACATTTTCTGCCCTTTCATGTGATTTGTGTGTAGTTGGGTCAGGGTTGACATAAATGCTTAGAGATCATCTAAGCCAATCTCTTCCACATAAATATGATTTATAATTTGAAAAATTGCTTTTTTGAAAGATGATTATAATTTCTTTAAAAAATCGTAATTACTATTCTCCCCTTCCAAAAGTTAAGTAAAATATAACTCAGCCACTGCCTGCTCCCAGAGAGGAATCTAGCTGTCTGTGTAGAGCTGATGAATATTTGATATTTGTGATAGAGATTATAAAATGCTTTTTATTACTAACTAATTAATGACTGCTCTGCCATTGTCATCCTAAGCAAGTAGAGAGCAGTGGGAAACTAACCTGAGTGAAATGTGAATAGGAAAGAAGACTTGGAGGTGACAGATTTTATTTTTAGGCTTTCTGTGTGCTGCTTAGCACTACAGACTATAGCCACTGCGAGGTGAGCTGCAAAGGGCTTGCTGGGCCCACTTTCCCCGGTTGCACTTAGAACAAAGGCAGCATTGCGAAGTGCTGGCTGCATTCTCTGTGCTGACTGTGCAGAAGGGCCTCATAATGACATCAATAGTCGCTCAAAGCCCAGGGATTTTTCTTCTCTAAAATATGTCTCAGAGTCAAGGAAAACTTACTGCTTGATATTCTCCAGGTCCTGCAGGCTGCTTTTGTCCAGGCATTATTTGTAACTCCTATTGTATTTGTTAGGCAGAACTTCATGGAAGATGTTTTATTTTGCTTTCCTAATATGCATATTTTTGACAACCTCAATTAACAAGAATTAAAACAGAACTTTCAGTTCAGTGGCTTGGCTTTTGCCTTTAGCTATATATCCATTTCGGGATGAAGAGAAAGTCTTGGCAAAAATGCATGATTTGGTTCAACATAATACAACACCACACGATATACATGCACATACACATTGCAACAACTGATGTAGCCTAGCAGGTACATTTCAATGAAATATTCTATGATTTTTGTGCCTTGAGCAGTAAAAAATGATCCTCAAAATGATGCCCTTAAGAATATGCAAAGATAGCCAACTGATCAAAAAAGAAATATTAGAAATTGTTCACCATAGTCTCCTTACTCAGCAGGGATGTGAATAAAAAGAGTTGTACCTATGGAAGACTTTGCCCAGTAGGAAGTCTAGTCATAGAAACACTGTCACTAGCAACTAGTGACCTGGCAGGCAGTCAGCCAGGGGGATAACTACTTTGACCTCTCTCTTCTTTGCCCTTCCATTTCCTGCTGGTGTCTCACAATAGCAGAAAACAACCAGAATCCAGAGGGCAGGGGATCCTGGTGTTGCAATTCACAGATGCCACCATCTCAGAGCCTTGAGCAGAGTGAAGAACTGTGGAGGGAGGGTCTGATGTACAAGCAGAGGATACCCACCTCAGCATGGCAGGGGATAATGATCTCTCTTCACCAATACTTGGATATTCTTTATTTTGACTTCAGTGAACGATGGGTTTGCTGGTGCCTGTCATTTCTATTAGTAGCACTTCTTACCTGGATACACTGATTCCAACTTTTGGTGATTCCCTGGGATCCTTTTTTTCTCAGCTCTGACTTGGAAGCACAGAAGATTTCTCAGTTTCCAAATCATGTGACAATACCTATTTGCTTTTGTGAAAATTAAGCTTCTGAATGATTAGTAAATTCAGACCAGGTCACAGCTAATACGTGGTAGTAGATCCGGGGTTAAAATCACTGTCTATTTGGCTCCCAAGTAATTGCTTTTTCACTTGTCTTAAAAGTCCATCTTTCTACTTTACTTACTTAACTTAGTTTTCACACTCTTCATTTTTTCCTGGAGTCAATCTCTTAAAATTTCTTAGTGGAACGCTCCACTTCATATTCTCTTACCCTTCTTCTCCATCCATTTATGATATTGTAACCAGTCCTTCTCCAAAATCCTCAGTTCTTTCAACTACTTGAACCCAAGCATGTGACAGATCCCCAAGCTGGGACCATCAGACCATCTTTCTTCTTTGGAAACAAGTCATAAAATCAGATGTAAATGCTCTACTCTATAGCAATGCTTTCTCTTCCCATATGTGTGTACAGAGCAATTTTAAATGCCCTTTCCCCCTTTTCGATTTTAGATTTCCTTTTGTATCCTCTGAAGCCAAACCTTAACTGACTTCCTTAAGAAATCAAAATAATTTATGTTTCTCTCCCCTACGATAGATGACTTGCTTCCTATCACACTGAGAAAATAATGACCCTCAGCCATGAATTTATTTTACTTTCATTCTACCTAAAATTCATTGATATTTTCATCAGTCTTTGTCTCCTTGCCTATGGATTCCATTCAATGAAATCCAGTAAACCTTTATTTGAGCACATACTGTGAGCCAGTCAATGTGCAGCATCCTTGGATATAAAGATTGATTGTGTACAAAATGGCAGAAACTGTGTCCAGTTGTTCTCCATTTGATTTGAGTGGAGCAGAGGAAGTGAGAAGACAAAATTGTGGCAGATCTAGGTACAAGAAAACTAAAACACATATACTAAGTGCTGTTATAGGCACAAGGGCAAGGTACTGTTGATTCCAGGGACAAAGCAGCTATCCTCACCTGGGGGAGTCAAAAGGATGATTCACAGAGGAAGGGATATTTTCTCGGTCACTCATGACATCCCCACCGATCCGTTCCAATTTCTTCTCTACTCCTCTCATGGGAATTATTTTTTTTCCATTTCACTTGGAAATTGTAAAACCTCTACAATTTCTGTAAAATAAAGTCCATCCTCTCTGGCATGCCTTTAAGAGGCACTAGTTACATTGCCATACTTTTGCTTTCCGTCTCTACTCCTCACAGTTTCCTTCTTACATTCTGGACTCCAGCCATCCTACAACACTTTCCGTCTTCCAAATATCCTTATTGTCCTTATCTGGTGTTCTTTGCATAGAATTCTTTCTCCCTAATTTTTCTACCTGTACAAATTATCTTCTTCTCCAAGGGCTAACTAAAATACCTCTAAAAAGATTTACCTGATTTTTCAGTCATAGGCACTGTTAGTCTCTCCCTTGTCCACACTCTTATCACACTTTATTTACATCTCTCTTACAATACAGGTGACTTTAACGATTTCTTACCTGGTTTTCTGCTTAATTTTTGAATGCAAAATCCACAATTCATGCATTGCTTCTCTACACGTTTCCTGGTATATTGTGAGTGTTCCGAAAATCTGTATTGACCAACATTAAAACATGCATAACCGCAAATACATACACATACATATATTTTGAAGTAAAGACGCGACTCCAGTACTGGCTGAGTAGTATTCAGACGATTTGTGAATCCTTTGAGTCTCAATTTTCTTAGCTGTAAATGGGCATTATAATCCCCTACCAACTTTACATCACTGTTGTGCAAAAATCTATGTGAAACTGCTTTTAAAAAAGGTAAAATGAGTATAAATAAGGATAAATAAGCATTCTTATAAGAGATGTTTGTAGCAGAAAAGAAAACTTAGGGAACCCACAAACAAAATTAATTTTATGAAGTGTTATCCCTTTTACTTATTCAATAGCTACTTGGAAGTGTTGCCCGAGTTATACTGTTGCAGGTGTGAAAAAGCACAGCAGGAGAAGCCAAACATATTTGCTCATGGACAATAGTGCTTTGAACAAGAGCACGGCATTTGGGTTAGTGCAAATGAAATGAAAAGGCCTTGGAATTGGAAGGGAAACTTAACTTTGAATCTCTCATTCATTCAGTTTTCAAACATGAAAGAGGACAACCGTATCTCCTGCAACGAATATGGAATTTTTAAGCAAAAGTGTGCTAGGTCACAAATTAGAAAGTTAACTTTTCTATCAGCTAACTGTATTATGATATGTACATTAATATATGCATGTAGAATGCATTTTACATGTATCAAAGCTTACACCCACACTAACATGTATGTGCACAAATGTCCAATGTTACTTATTTGCTGAATATAATTAGAAGAGTGGTTAGGGGCCAGAGTCTGGGATGATTATCTAAAGTCTTGGCTCTGCCTCTTCTGAACCATTGTGACCATTCTGAGCATGTTTTTTTACTCAAGAAATGCATGTAGAATTATTTGAGTTTGTTGCAAGAATTAGAGTAGCAATGTGAAGCACTTTATTTTGTACCTGGCTCCTACTATAGATTATTTGATGAGCCCTGGATCAAAACTAACCTAAAAACTTCACACATCAGCTCAGACAGCTGACCCTATTCAGTCCTTTTGCCCACGGAGCCAGATTCACAACCAATTCACAGCCTATGTGACTTAAATCGAATATGAATTTCTTCATTTGCTCATTGTTGTGTTTTCAATATAAATCCCATTTCCATTAATTTGTCAGAGACCAAAGTCTCATCCCATGTAACTCGACTGGGAAATCTGGGCCGAGCAAAGTTTGGGATTTACTTGGTTTCAGCCCTGCACAAGAGCCCGATGTGCATGATGTGTGGTATGTGACGTTTGGTCCTGCCCCTCAAGGGCACCCTGAGGGGGGACCTTCCTGTGTGTCCCAGGATGCCAGCTCCCTTCTGCAGAAGGGGGATTTGAGCTCCCCTGAGGGTATCTGAAACTCTTACTGGGTGTGCTTCATTAATCTTTTCCTGACTTCCCATGCCTCTGTATGCTGTGCTTAACTTGCTGTGACTGGTGTTGATGGAAACCAAAGAGCAGAGGCAATTTACATCTTGTAAACCATAGAACACTGGACACCCCCCTTATGGCACATCTGGAGAGACTTGCATTATTTAGAGCCTCTATTCTTCCCCACCGTCTCTAAAATCTTCAAGCATGCAGAGCAGCTGGCTCTTAGACTCGCACCTGATTATATGCTGTCTTTTTATTTTTTAATTGGAGCATGAGAGTCACCCTTTTCTCCCTGCAGACTATAAACCTCTCCTGGACAGGCCCAGGGTGTGACATTTATTTCACTGCCTGCTGGCAGCACTAAGGTCAGTGCTACCAGCAACTGGGTTGATGTTGGCGGCTTAATCAGGCAGAGTTAATACATAAATAAAGCTGTAAGTTTTGAAAAGTTAGATGTGTTAGGTATAGAACTTCTCTAATAACTTCACCAAAAGAAATGGCAGATTCCTTAATCTGGGATCTCTCTCACCTTATCTTAGGCAGGGTGGCCTCAAAATCAGATGCTGAGACATGAACTTGAGAGCAGGTACTTTCTTTAGGTGGTAATCCCTAGATGAGGGAGGGGTGAAGGTGACAGAGAAGGGTACAAAGCCAATCAAGGGTGCCTTAATAAGCAGGTTACCATTGAGGATTCCATCTCTCCGGGGATCCTCTGAAAAATTGCATAGACTGAAACTCAGTATTGTCAGTATTGTCTCACTAAGGAACAAGGCACTGAAATGCACATGTATGGATTTCCATCTCTTGTTGATTAAGGCTACCTTTGGAGAGGTGAATCTCCTAGCACTCTGGACTGCAAGATCCTGGCTTCAGAGAAGCCCTCAAGCAGAGGACCTGAGATCTGTGTGTGTTTGGAGTAGGCAGCTCTTTGCATGTTTGAAAAGTCTCCCAGAGTGTAGGTGGACTGACAGGTAAGCTGAGGGCCTATGGAGTGGGATAGCAATGGCATTTGCCACTCACCATCCCTTTACAAAAGGGGTGGAGAAAGAGTCAATATGCCCAGCAATCCGAGGTGTAAGAAACAGTGAAGAATGTTCTAAGCTCCATGTAATTCTCAAAATACATATTCCCAGACTTGCATTTTGCACATTTGCAGGTCTCTTCCCAACATGTCAAAGGCA
This sequence comes from Homo sapiens, assembly GCF_000001405.40. Taxonomy (NCBI): domain Eukaryota; kingdom Metazoa; phylum Chordata; class Mammalia; order Primates; family Hominidae; genus Homo; species Homo sapiens. The sequence goes on from NC_000002.12 coordinate 21,721,356, forward strand.
AGTTTACCTTTTTCATTTTCTGAGCTTCTTCAGTACCTTTGTCTGTTTTGCACCCTCTGTCCTATACACTGGACACTGGTGATATCTGCACTGGCTTGGGTGGAGAGAAGTATCTCTATATGAAATGGGCTATTAGAGATCAGTTACCAGATCTCAAACAAGCAGGAAAAACCTAAAGAGACTTTGTAGTTGGATAGTCTAAGAATTCAGTCCAGGTTGTGCTACTTATTACTGTGTGATCTTGAACCCAGGACTTGTCACTCTTAAACCCTGTTTTCTTCATCTGCAAAATTAGAATTATATTGCAGGAATATTGTTGGCATCCAATGAAATAGTGAATGTGAAGCAACGTTATTGTGTCTGGTATACAGTAGATGCTCCAAAAACCATACCTTTCTTCATCATCATCATCATCATCATCATCCTTTAGCATTATGCCCTTCGCAGAATAGATCTCAGAAAACAGTTTTGCTGAATCAATTTATTTAATCAAATTCAAATCAATTGGTTTTGCTCATGGTTTGAAGATATGGTGAAAGTTGATGGAGTAATTGAAATCCTAAGCAGTAGCAGAGCTGCTGGGTAGAAATTTCAGACCTCCAGGTGATCCTTGTGTTCCCTCAGAATCATCAGTGAAGTTAGCTGTTGTATAGAGAGCAAGCTTGTCCAACCTGTGGTTCATGGGTTTCATGCAGCCCGGGGCAGCTTTGAATGCCACCCCAAACAAATTTGTAAACTTTATTAAAATGCTTTGAGATTTTTTGCAATATTTTTTGACTCATTAGCTATAATCAGTGTTAGTGCATTTTATGTGTGGCCCAAGGCAATTCTTCTGTGAGGCCCAGGGAAGCCAAAAGATTGGACACCCTCATATAGAGGCTGAAGCCCTTTGTTCTGGTGTTGACACAGCTTCCTTGTGGTCCTAGCCTCTCTCAAACAAAATGGGAGACAGTTGGAGAACAGGAAGTCATTGGAGAACGCTAAAGATCTATCACGTAATACGAAAGATAATAATTACAATATTTTGACTGCTTATTCTCTACTAAAAATTGTGCCGGTACTTTAAATACACAATTTAATAGTTAAAACAGACTTGTGAGGTGGGGACTCCATTTAAGAATGGCTTGGAGGGTTTGGGCTTATCCGGGCCACTCAGTCACTTAGTAGGGCAAGAGTGCATTTGAGCCATATCTTAATATGACCAGAAGCCCAATACACTTGGCCACTACTCAAATGGGAAAATGGAGAATACACAAAACCTCTTTGGATACAGTCAAAGAAATTGATTGGTATACTTGTCTTTTCTCTCAGAAAGTTAGTCTTGTGCTGAAAACCTGGACCAAAATTCAGGAGATGTGTCCTGAATCCCTTTCTACCAGCCAGCTGCATGACAATGCATAGGATAAAATGGTGGTTAGGAGCAGAGACTCTGGCATGAGACTGGGCTTGAAGGAAGCAACCTCTGCTTCTGTGTAGCTGTGTTACATGAGAAAGGAGCCCCATTTATGACATAATTTTTTTTCCACTAGAATTATTTTCCATGAAGCCAGAGAGTTTTCTGTTTTGCTCAGTGCTGTACCTGAAGAACTTTGAATAATGCCTGATATGTAGTGAACACTCAAAACCTTTACTCGATGAATGGGCATATCATTTTCAAGTCTCTGGGCCTCTGCAGGCTCATCTGTAATTTGGAAATAGTACCACACGGCTTACAGAGTTCATTCACAACGTTGCTGTAATGGCCAGATAAGCCGCTGGTTCTCTAAAGCCCTTTAGAAAGGTCTCAGGGGCCAGATCAATGGGAAACTCTGCAACCTTTGAGTAGTTTTCAGTAGAAGGGTAGCCCAGGAGAGAAAGTGTTAATAAGAATGTCCTGAGGGTACAGATGGTGCTTATGAAGAAAAATCCTATTTTTCCATTTGCAGAAATGATTAGCTAGGATCCTACTGAGTTCACTGCATGGGCCACTGCTAGTTTTAATTTGTACCAATAGGATGGAGGGATGGACTTTAATGAGGATCTGTGTTTTCTAATCATGGGCAATGTTCGAGGAAGTGGAAGAGGGGGCAGGGAGGGTGGCAGATAATTGGGAGATTCAGAAGATGGGGCTGTTTCTTGGGGATGGATGGATGCTTTGCTACCTTCCAAAGCTAGAATCCTATTGTAGTGATTCTCACCTGGCTGAAGATGGGGGTGGGGAAATCATCATTATGCACAGAAACAGGTAGCATGAATATTCCAAGTACATGCTCCATGATGAGACATCTGGGTTTGCCACTTTACCATGTGAGCTTTTAGGTTCTGTTTCCTTATTTGCCAAATATGGAAGACAATTATATTTATATCATAAAATTATTGTAGTAAGTATGATAATAAAAATAAAGGACTAAGAATAATGCCTTGCATGTATAAAGTTTTCAATAAATTTCTGTAACTTAAGTTTGTGAAATTATTTTAGTTATAAATGCCCACCCATCTGGAGAAAATAGCACAGTATCCCCTAACCCTAGAAAGTCACTTCTTTCAATATAGCAACACCCATTCCTTGAATGTCCCTTTCTCATGGAAGAAAATGGGGTATGTGTACTGTGATAAAAGACTACTGAGTGATTTTGTTGTTATTCTCCATCTTTAATATCAGTTAAGAATCATTCCATGTTAACAGTGGAGAGGTCTGTGATGAGTGCATTGCTGGAGCGGTAGCAATACATAGATTCAAACCATCAAGGAGAATTTCCTGCAGAAGTGATTTGAATTTAAGCAATGGTCTTAAACTCTCCCATCCAACATTTATCTACATACGTATGTGGGGTTCACACAGTGGCTCTACGTGCTGGAGTAGCCCATGTGTTCTTTTCCTGTGAATTTCAGAAGTAAATATTTGCAACCTGAAGACAATAGTGATCATTTTCCTAAGAGCTACAAAACACAACGAGATTTTGCCCTACTCCAGTGGAACTCAAATGCAAGACCGAGATTGCCTTTAATTGGTTGGCTTGTATGAGAATCTGATGACTGTTTTGGGCAATGAGAGCAGAGGAGAAAAAGTAAAAGGATTCTTCTGGAGTAAGTGTATCTGTTTTGAGGAGCAAGAATAGTCTATGTATTTCCTACAATTTTATGAATTTTTAATACATGACTTCATTTAGGAGGGAATCGATAGGCTCACCTGAGTCTGAGATCCAGATGGTTCAAGGATTACTGACTTAAAAATCAAGCAAAATATTTTCCTATTTTCTTTCAACTAGCATAGAGATTGGAAAATGAAATATTCCCTTCCTTTAATGAGATCCTTGTCTAGAAGGGGAGAAAGACATATCAAACAAATAATCACAACATAAGTAAAATAAATGCTATGGGGGCACAGAGTCCCTGGAAAATCAGAGGAGGATTTAGGACATTTGAACAGAATGGGAAGGTTTTTTTCTGGACAGGAGAAAATTCCCAAAGGTATTCTGCAGGTGAAACCATGGAGCATGGTGGTTCCCTGACTCTGTCATGATCGCTGGACAGCCAACAGCCCCCTGCAGCCTAGTCATCTGTATGCCTCAGCTCAGGAGCTATATACTTTATTCTAAGCCACCTCAGGGAAATGTCCCCCCATCAGCCTCACTCAGCAGGTTTTATCCTTCAGGGTTCTGAGTCTTCCTCTGAGGACACTTCAGTTCATTTGCTCTGGAGACAGGAGTGAAAAGAAAATATAAAACAATCCTCTAAAACATATCCAGGAAACATATTGTTGTGCAAGCTAATTAGCTTTTGAAAAAGCAGTGCTCTAATCAAGATTTCTATATACCGTGCATAGCCTAATTATAGAGACAGTAATACCCTGGATTTACAAAAAGCCTTTCAATATCTATCTCTGCAATTATTTCAATTATTCACCAAATATCCTTAGGAAAAAAAAGAGGTAGATGAAAAAGCTGAGTTTTGCAGGGGACAGTGCAGCATACATTATTTTCATGGTTGGAGCTACAGTCTTGATACTATTCCATCCTCAGGGTCTGAAGCCCTGGTTACAAAGAAAAAGAAAACAATGATAATACTAGAGATTATGCTACAATTGATTATTTTTTGTTGCTGACTAAAAGATTCCAGGTCATGGTCTTGCTCATGCTTATCTCTCAATTATTTTCTAAATGAATAAATTAATAAACAATTTAATAAATCAATGAATCATATGGACCCAGATTTTGACAGAAAAAGCCCATACAAAAGTAGTGGTCTAGAAGTGCAGACCACATATGTCAGATATGAATCAATCACAAAATGGTTAATGTTCAAACTGGCTGACATGATAGTTTAGAAAAGTCTCCTTGGAAGAGAAGGAGCTCAAAGACCGTATCAGGAAAAACAAGTGGGAAATTGCTTTACTTGTTTAAAGCCATAAAGAAAAAATGGGAGCAGTGAGTATGAGATAATGAAGGAAAATTGTCAAGCACATAGTAGGCACTTAGTAAATAACACAGAGGCTTAGACATGTCTTAGCTATGTCTTTTGTAAAATGACACCAATGCAATTATTTTGTCTTTAGAGTATGGAGTCTCAGTAGCTTCCAGGAGAGTTCAAAGGGATCCATGTTTCCTGAAGTGTCTCCTCCAGCTTGCACTCAGCAGGTTATGCAGTAGTTTCTTTCATGATTTTCATTTCTGCCATATTTATGACTTTGAGGTGACTTAGTCTTTAGTTAAACATGGCACATAGGAATACGGCTCTTCATTTTCTGATTTCAATCAAAGCCCTTGCTGTCAAGAAGACTTCTCTTGGTTTTATACTATTAAGCCCACCCCTTTTATTTTTCTTTCAGAGACGACATCACATGGGGGTATGTGGGTAGGTGAGGACAGATACTCGGATTGAATACTAAGCTAGGTAGCAGAGTCAAGTCAGCAAAACAGAACAGATATGGTAGTTGAAGCTTCAAGATTTGCCCAAGGACAGCCACAAGGATCAGGCAAGGATCAGCCACAAACAGGACCGAGTTCCTGCATTCTTCATGATTTATGTTGGTGGATATAGACCTGAAAATGCACACTGACCGCCAAGTATGGCATATGCTTCAGTGAAGGAGAATTGCTCCATATTGGGACAGATAGAGACAGCCAGTTCCTCTGGAGAGTCTAACAAACATCCTAGAAATTATAGGTAACAGGATACAGAATATAATGTGTCAGGAAGACCAGTTATGGAATGACTGTCTTTATATGTGAGCACCTGTTCTCTATAATACTGCAATACAAATATTATTTTTCCTGCCAAATAATCTCACAACAGCCTATTTTTCACATTGAGTATGTATATCCTAGTTACATTCCTACATTCTCTGTCTGCAAAGTATTATTTTCAACTTAAACAAAAAGTAATGTATCCTTTCATAGTATCTATCCAAAATAAGTTAAAGACAAATGAAGGCTATGACACAGATGAAAAATTACCAGGAAACTTCAATAGAGATACTCTGTTATAGAACGAAAATGCCAGCAGAGAAAACTGTTCATACATAGAGTGATTCTGAGAATGATTGATGGATCAGTTTCCAAGATATTTGGGACTCTGCAAACTGTTCAGAAAATAAATTGTAAATGAGTACAATTTTATGGATTTGGAGCTTCCAAAGTAAGTTTTGATTTTGACTGTTCGTTAACGCCAAGAAATAAAATTTTAAATTGGAAACAATTCACAAAGATTTTCCTCCAATTATACTCATAGTAATTTATTTTGCTGTATTAGATAGATACATCCCTGGTAAGTTTGTTCTGTGACATTTGACTTAAGGCAAGTGATGCAAGGTAATCGTGGGCAGAAAGGCTGCCAAAGAGAGAAGTAATGTGATCAATAGGCTTCTTTTGTTGTTGGCAAACACTGTCGGGATGATCAGCGTCAGAGCTTGGAGCCAGAGAAAGCTAATAAGATGAGTGGCATGTTTCCCGCAATATGCTCCAAGTATTTATGTGCTGTTCAAAGCAAGATCTGTAAACACAATGAGGACAAAGAGAATACAACATTATTGATGATATCCTCCTGATTTATGTTTACAGCATCTGTGGATAATAACTCCATTTGTCAGGGAGACCCTCATGAATACTAATTTGGGGTGGCAATTCAACCATGACCAGACTGGCTTTAGGTAATGCTCTTTCACTCTTATGTGGTTTGCTGGGAATGTAGTACTTGGAGTGTCCTTAATCTCTCTCTCTTTTTTTTTAAAGGCACACTGGATTCAGGAGATTTGAGGTATAGTAATTTTTCAGAAGTTCACAGGTGTTTGCAAGATCACATTTAATAAAATAGAGGATGTGCAGTATTTTTGAAATCAAATCTGTGTTTCTGAAAGAGATTCTGAGTTTAATTCTAATGTCTCTGAGTACCAAAGAGAAGCTTAACTCCAACCTCTACTTTGGATGAAATATGACAAAAGAGCAAAGTCCTTAAACTTATTTTCTTTAAAGCATAAATACATGATCTTGTTTTCTCCTAATGTTTGCTAAAATACATTTGTTAGGCTGTTAGAGACAATGTCTTAGATCTCAGGAAGGTACACACTGTAAAGATAGGGAATGGAACTAACAGGTCATTAGAAGGGGTGAAACGGATCATTTTCTTTACTGCCTGTGAATCTGCCAGAAGATATCCATTCTCTTTGAGAATCTTAGCCAAAATTTAAGCAACCTAATATACTAACTGTGGTTCTGAAAATTCCCTTATATTTCAAGATTCTCAATCCATATTAGAAAGAAATTGTTCTATAGAGTGTGCTATTTTCACTAAAAACTTATCATTTTTTTGGTCCATGCATAAGTACACTGCCTCCTGCCAATCCTACCTGCCAGAGATGGTCCCCTCTGCACATGCCCTTGCCCTGTTACTTGACGCATGCTTATGAAAGTAAAGCACACTGATCTTGTTGTAGAAGGAGAAAAGGCAAAATAAGGTAGGAATTCAGACCACAGGGAGGCCATTCTAGAGGCATCAGCCAAGGAGTAAGTCAGCATTCCAGGTACACTGGCCTGCTGGGCACTTAAGTTGCTCTCTGTTCACTGAAGAAATAGATTGCTTTTGTTTCTCCTTTAAGCTTGCTCAATAGAGTTATTTTTACTACTAATATAGAGGATATTTATAAACGCTGCTCTTATTCATGCATTTTATATGACTGATTTTTCTCAGGTGGGATTTCCACCAGCACTCTTTAGAAAAATGCTACCCAAAACACTCACAGGTTTTCACGTTTATTCAAGTTACTATATTACACTTATTGACCTACTGTACCTTTCTCTCTGGCTCCCCTGCTCAGTTTCTAGGAGAATCCTACACAACCTTAAGTGCTCTGTATTCTTGCTCATATCTTTCTATAAGGAAATTCACTGATAAGACAGAATGGGAGGGTCCAAGTGTGAACATTATCTGTGAGGTTTTCTAGTCTCTTGACCAAGTTTTCAAATTCTAAGCCCCATGAACCAAAATACATTCTTATAATAGTTACAGAAATCCAGGCCCAAGTAAGATTATTTTAAATTTCAAATTACACTGGAGAACGCCAGTATCACCCACCCCATCCAGGCCTGAGTTAGAACTGAGTTAGTTCTGAAAGCTGCTTCTTATTGCATCTCCACAGGAAATAATTATGCTCAGAAAACATAAGGAATTTTTCATAATACTGGGTTGAGTGATCTTGAATCAAACTGAGATATGTCATTTCTCATCTGCTAAAGAAATGGCTTTGGATAATAATGGATAAGATATCTCAAGTACCTTGGCTGGAAAAGGAAAGCAAATTACATATTTTCTGAAGAAGGAAATCTTATTAGCTCTATTATGTAAAGGCTTATTCATTTTCTTGTGACTTCCTCTATAACATTGCTCCTTCTTCCTTCTAGTCCATCTTAAGAACACCTGTTGAGTCCAGAATTGTTAAGCACTTACTTTTTCATCCCAGCTTCAGTCCTTGATTTATCCAGTTGGTTGGTTGGTGGCTGTGACTTCCTCACAGCTGCTGCAACTGTTGCTACCACAATAGAACACGTTCTACCAACAGCTAAACTCCAGGGAGGTAGAGATGTTAACTCAAAATGGTTTAAATGTCCACAATTGCTAATGTCTCATAGAACAACTCTATTCCAATTTCAGGACTAACAACAGTCCTGTTCTCTTCTTCTCCTGACCCTAAATTATATTGTAATTGAGTCAAAATCCCAGAGACTTGGATAGTACATTGAGAAGAGAAAAATGACGATAGCTCTGGCACTTTGTTGAACTTTATAGACTTTATCTGACCCTGACTGAGTAAAAAGATGACATATTACTGTCTTCCTGGGGCTGGTGTTAAGTCAGGTGTGGAAATAGCAATAGAAATATGATCTGTCTTCCCTCCAACAGTTTCTGAGCTGGGAATGGGCCCCTGAAACCTAACTCTATATTCATCATCTCAACCTTCTCGTTAAAAACATGTATTACGCTGAGAAAGTTGAATGGTCCACAGGTTACTCATAACTTCCCATTTTAGAGATTGAAAAGACCTCAGGGGTCTAGTCCAACCTCCCACCAAGAATAGGAATCCCTTTTACAGGATTTATGATCAAAAATGTTCAAGTCTCTGAGAATGTCCAGTGGCAGACCAAATTTCCTTAAAAATCAGCCATACTCCAAAAAGATTTCAGAACACTGCTTTCTTCCAAACATCAGTTTCAAGCCACTGCAATAACGAATGGGAGTTTGGTTTGTAAAGGGATAAAATATCAGTTGTTAGGAGGTGTGTGGGGCAATACTTATTGGATAGATATTTTAAAGTGATCTGGAGGTTTTCCCAGTACACTGACTTTTTGGAGATTGGTGAGGATTCCAGAGGACCCTAAAGAAGGACATGAGGTGTGGATTGAGGAGCAAAAACAACCCCAAAAAACAAAATAAAAATATTGTTTTTAAAATCTGCCATGAAAGAAGAGATGCTTCACACGGCCCAGCTACTCAAGGTGATTAATGGCAATAAGGTGAAAGGTCTCCAAGGACTTTACTGGCATAGCTGTTATGCCTCTGTGGGTTGCTACTAAAGCTGAAGTACTTTCAGTACAATGGCGTCATTGAATCCAGGTACGGACTAGATCTGTGAGATGAGAGAGAAGTATTGCTCTGCATTAAGAGATTAATTGATATCAGTGCTATATATGCTAAGATCAATGGATAGCCTCCACTGGCAGCTAAAGATGAGTTTTAAACTTTCCAGTTCCTCTTTTGGATTGATCATTGTATTTATATAATTCTCTTTATTCCTCTATCTCCTACAGAAATGAATCATTCCAACATATGAACCATATAGGCTTTAATGATTTCACTTTGGGTCAGGTCCACTGGAGTATTAATCATACCTAAGGGCTGAGTTAGGTCTCTGTAGATACAAATGGCTTTTAAAATTCTATTTCATAAAGTTTTATTTCTCTGAATTAAACAGAGCCTTATAGCAGCATTGCCTATGGTGAGGACAATGACTTAAGTGTGGTCAAACTCAATTCCCCAAAACTTCATTTCCTCTCTTCTGCATCTTCATACTATCTCTCTTTGGGGTCATTTTTTATCAATCTTACGTACTCTTTTATCTCTGATCTTAACATGTACATGCATGTGAACTCACACTCAGGGATGCACCAAAAATCTCTCACTTAATACTGCATCTTCTAGCCACTGTATTTCTCTTCCCCTTTATAAAGTCAGACCTCTTAAAAGCAAGAAAATCTGCACACTGACATTTTTGCAATTCTTCAGCTCACCCTTTCTGCTTCATGGAGGCTAGGCAGTAAATGTGTGAGGAGTGGGGCAATGACATCACAGTTGGAATAGTAGCTAAAAATGGAAAAGAGTTTTGCAGAAGAGTGGCCAGACTGAGACTGCAAATGGTTATAGAAGTACATCTCTTCTATTTTCACAAAGTAGTTATTAGTATGATTACCACTGATTTGGAAAGCTAAAAATTTGCATGCTGAAAAAGCACAGAAAATTCAAAGTCCTCTTTTAGAGCTAATTATCTGGGAACATTAAACTAGACAACCCTTCAGAGCTGGCGTTGTTGTTTTCGATTTTATGGCATCGTCTGGTGCTTTTTCTGACCTGCAGCACTTAGGGTCCAAGGAAGTTGTGGCTTAGACTTTGGCCAGCAGGAGAGCAGTCCAGCTCAATGCTTAACACATTTGCCCTCTGTTCCACCTACAGATGCTTGATCATGGCCAGATTTAGCTTTATGAGACTTTCACAGAATATTTTCTGATTTTCTTGATAATGTGCCAAGCCATGAACTAAATGATAAACCAAGGTTCCAAGCCCTTAGGTAGATAAATCAGGATCATGTCCTTATCTGAAACTCTGCTGCCATTTCTAAAAGGTTTGAATTAGTTCTGTCATATCAAAAGCAATGTGTGTAGTCATTAAAATGGAAAGAGATAACAAACTACACTTCTGATATAAAGAAGAATACTCAAAGCCCAGCTGATGACTTACTTCTTAAGAAAAAAAAGTATCGGTATACACACAGAAAATAATGTGATTTTTGCAACTTTTTAGAGTTTATTCGATCATGACTTAAACTTTAGTAAAAAGTCACATTAAAATTATAACGTGACTTCAGGTCATTTGTTTGATTATATTTCTTTATTTTATATAAATGCATTCAATGCTTATTAAATGCTCTTCTATACTTGTCTGTACCTGTAAGAGACAACAGAGAAACAGATATTAACAAGTGATTTTTATGTATGTGTGCTTTAAATTGCATTTTTAGTGTTAATTGGATAATGCCTATTCCACCAATGCTGCTTTGGGAAGTGCTCAATTTGCAGAGAACAGAATCAACTTTAGCTAATTTAAGAAGACATAGGGTTTTTAAAGGTTCTTAAATGACTTATACAATTGTTGACAAGGCTAAAAGGACATTCTAAAAGTAATTGTTGGAGTTATACGATAGAAATGAGCCATGAGGGGGGTTGATTATTCTGCCATAATCCAGACATTTGCCTGTGGGATTGGCAATCCATTGATGCAGCTGCTAGCTCAGAACCCTGTCACTACTTTTATGATTTAGACAAAAAAAGTGGGTGTCCATAGTCTGTATTTCTCCTCTGTAGTCCTAATTTCAGCCTCTTGCTTGTGCTTCTGATTCATGGGAGTACATCATCTCTGAAACCACAGCTGCAAGAAATTTTAGAGACAGTAAATTTAGTTTTAGCTTTTACATTATAGGAATATATCATAGGAATTGATGTGTGAGCAAACCCACAATATCTGCTATGGATACAAATCTCTACAATTGCTGGCCAATAGAGATATAATGCAAACCATATATGTGAGGAAACAATAGACACTGTGGTCTACTTGAAGGGGAGGGGGGGAAGAGGAAGAGGAGCAGAAAAGATCATTATCGGATACTGGACTTAAACCCGGGCGAGGAAATAATCTGTACAACACACCCCCGTGATACATATTTACTTATGTAACTAACAAACCTTCGCATGTAACTCCAAACCTAAAATAACAGTTTAAAAAATGGTCTGATAGCCACGTGAGAAAAGTAAAGAAAGACAAGTGAAATCAATTGTAATAATGTTTTACTTAATTCAGTATATCTCAAACATTATTTTAACATTTAAAATTATAAATGGCATACTTTACACTATTTTTACGCTGTCTTCAGAATTACATGTATGTTGTACATGTGCAACACACCTCAATTAAAAGTAGCCACATTTCAAGCATTCAACAATGAGTTGTGGCTGGTCACTACCCTATTGGACAATACAGATATACAATAATCCAGTGTTTGTACATGTATTAGTTCCTTCTCATGCTGCTATGAAGAAATACCCAAGACTGGGTAATTTATACAGGAAAGAGGTTTAATTGACTGACAGTTCCACAGGGCTGGGGAGTCCCCAGAAAACTACAGTCATGGCCTAAGGGCAAGCAAACATGTCCTCCTTCACATGGCAGCAGGATGGAGAAAAATGAGAGACATGTAGAGCGAAGCGGGTTAAAGCCCCTCATAAAACCATCAGATCTCGTGAGAACTCACTATCAGGAGAACAGCACGGGGGACCTGCCCGCCATAATTCAGTCACTTCCCAAGATGTCCCTCCTGCAACATGTGGGGATTATAATTTGGATTACAATTCAAGATGTGATTTGGGTGGGGACACATAGTGAGAACATATCAGTATATTACATATAAACTCGGGACCAATTTTCCACTAAGTTCATCTAAGCTTGATGACTTTCTTGTCTCTAAAAAGATTCCTTAAGGCAATTAGTTTCTCAAAGTAAATTACTAGTCTGTGTGCCCTTGACCTGTGCAGAACCTCAGAAACCTTAATGTTAAGGATGATGAATAAGTAACATGTGCCTTACACACCAACATGTCCATAATAAGCATTCAGTGCCTATTTTACTGTATAATTGATTGAATGCACTGATGAATCAATTAATGAATGGGAACAAACAGTGGGCATTACCTATTAGCATTGTACTAGATTAAGAAATTAAAATGATATAACATAGATTATGCCCAATACCCTTAAAGAGTGACTGTCATTCACTCTAACTTCATGAAATTCTTGCATCCGGTTGCTGATTCCAGGCTGACATAATGCAAATAATTCACACGGTATGTGATATTTTATTTCTTTAAGTAGAGTGCCTAAAATTAAACATAGAAACATTAAAAATGAGGTTTTCTGGGTGGGATTCAGATTTCTGAATATCTGAGTTGATAATGATAGCAGAGGGATTTTTTTTTTCAAATGCTTAAACTAAAACTACTGATTTCCTTGTGGCTTGTCAGATATATTAGCCCTTAATAACAGGGTGACTAAAAGAACATACATTGAATAATTTTATTCCTCATTCTCAAGCTTGCAGTATCCCTTATTAAGGAGTAACTTAAAAACAGAAGATGATTAAACTACTGTTAGAGCCACATTTGACAGTATCCCCACCAACACACTTGGGTTTACTGCTGACCTCAGTCCTCTATGAAAATTAAAGATAGAGAACAATTTCTAAATGGCATCAGTAATCTTGAAGAGACCTTGAGGTTCATGAATTTATGACTGTCAGTTTGTTTCATAGATGTTTGTATGTATTTCTATGGAAGCAAAAATCCACAATAAAATTTACATTTAAAAATATTTTCTTTAAAAGGCAACAAAAATCCAAATAAGCACTGCAATAAATGAAGAGACAAGAGTAGAAGAACCAGATGGCTTGAATAGCTCTTCTAATTCTGAGAGTTCATAGTTCCCTGGCTCCAATAACAGCCAACCTAACAGAATACCCAGACATTTGGATAGATTGCAATTTTTTTCTCCCACTCTGTGGGTTGCCTGTTCACTCTGATGACAGTTTAATTTGTTGTGCAGAAGACATTCACACGTATGTTAATTGCAGCACTATTTACAATAGCAAAGACATGGAATCAATCCAAATTGATTGGTGGTGAATATACACCATGGAATACTATGCAGCCATAAAAAGGAATGAGTTCATGTCCTTTGGGAACTCCAGGGACATGGATGGATCTGGAAGCCATTATCCTCAGCAAACTAACGCAAGCACAGAAAACCAAACACCACATGTTCTCACTTATAAGCGGGAGTTGAACAATGAGAACACATGGACACAGGGTGGGGAACAACACACACTGGGCCCTGTTTGGGAGTGGAGTGCGGGGAGGGAGAGCATTAGGAAACATAACTGATGCATGTTGGGATTAATACCTAGGTGATGGGTTGATAGGCGCAGCAAGCCACCATAGCACACGTTTTCCTGTGTAACAAACTTGCACGTCCTGCACACGTACCCCGCAACTTTAAAGAATACCCAGACATTTACACAAACAGGCTTTTCATCATTTTCATAGAAAAGAAACTATTTTTGCCTTCTATTAAGAAAGCACAATGCAATCTTGAGACAGTGCAAGGAGATGAACATGGAGAACAGAATACATGGTATAACTCAATGAAAAAAAATCTTCATTGAATGAGCAAAAAAGTAAACTTATAAAACAGACATGGATTACCTTCTATGGTCAGACATGTCATTGGTCAGTTGGTATAAAATAAGATGTGATCTCTGAATTTAAGGAAAAAAAGTAGCCTAAGGTGGGAAACAGACCAATATATAGAGAATGTAGTGTTAATAGAATATTATAAGGGGATATATTTAATTCTGTGGTATCCAAGATGAAAAGAGTATTATCTTGGTATCACGGCAGGTTGTGTGGAATAACTGTCATATGATTTAGGGTGTTAGAGAACGTGGTGGGAATGTACAGATGAAATTGAGGGATAATGTTTTAGAGAGAGTAGACAGCATGTAAAAATACTTCAGAGTATTATAAAACAAACTGTGTTCAAGGAGGCATAAGGTTTTGATATGAATGAAGATATGGCACCCACTTGTGCTTTCTTACCTCCTTATTGCTGTCTCCCGAACTCTCCCTGGAGAGTAATAAAGAGGTAAGAAAAATGACCAAAAAACTATGCTAAGTCTAGAACGTTTTCTCATACGTCATTCCAAATATGTTCACTTATGTTATACCAGTGTGTCCCAAATAATTCTGCAGAAATTATTAATGGGTAATCCAATAAAATCAAATGAAGGTAAAAAAATAAAATACTTAATTCTGTAGTTAAATAAAAGTGGGAAAATCTGGTTAAATGAGGTAAGGTTTCTTCTATGCAAAATTTCTCAGAGAGTTTGATATACTAATATTATATACATTATAAATGTTAAATAAATGCAAGAAACATTTCCAAAATACATATCACCATACAAAAGCATTTTTGAGCATGTAGATTAATAATCTGAGTTTGAGGGCTCTATGGAGCTCAGTTTAGGAAATGCTGTTCTATAGGTCATAAAAATCATATATATCATATCTACCTATCATATAAATTTTGTTGATAGTATACAGTATAATTCATGTAAAAAGATTACTTGCCAGCCTGTTGTAATATTTCAAGTCTACATTGTCTACAGAACACTATTTCCTTGAACAAATTAAGCACTATAGGAAACAACAAAAAGTGTTTCATATTTAAGTCAATTGTGAAAAGATGGGATAAAGGGCTTTGTTATTGCAATTCTTCTTGGAGTGAGATTGATTACCCAAGAGAAAGGAAATTACTAGTGGAGGGAGAGCTTGGATGAGGGGAAGTGAATTGGATAAAAATGGATGGCCTATACGGTTAGGTTATTCTCCAAAGGAGGGACCCTTTTATATATATATATATACAACATTGAAGAAAGCAAAACCGTGGTCAGTAATTCTGTGATCTTTGGTCTGTTGCTGTTTAGACCAGTAGGATCTCGCCTGGCCTCATTTAGATGGTACACAGAGATAAGACTCTGACTATCTAAGTTGCTTTAAAGAATTTTGAGAAAGAAGTTAGACATAAAAGGCTATTTTAAAATAGATGGCTACTGACTGGATATATCTTGCAATAAAAGCTGACAAGAGAATGAAATATGGGCTAAAAGACAGTGCAATTTGGTTGATTTGTAACTGGTTGAAAGACTATACCCAAAATGTGATTATTCATTTTTTCATTAGTTTATCATTCATTGATAGGCAAGGAAAATGAACAGGTGATTCACAAAAGACATACCCTAATGACCAGAGAACATACAGATGAAAAGTTTAACCTTACTGTTGGCTGCATGTCCTATATTCTAGTAGAAGTCAGTTCTTTCCTGCCACAATCTGTACCACTCTATCTTACTCACACTCCTGATGACTTCTACCTTAGGGAAGGAGAAACACTGTTTCTGAGCAGGAACATTCAAAATAACAATTTGGCCATAATACTGAGGGTGGTGTGTGTGTGTGTGTGTGTGTGTGTGTGTGTGTGTGTGTGTGACAAAAACATTAAAGGATAGTTAGGAGCCATCCATTTTTGGAATGGTGTGTCCGATGCAATATGCAGAGTGTACAGCTGCAACCCAATTGGAAAGTGTCATCATTCTAGGGAGACAAAGTAAAGGAAAGACTATTTAAACTTACCTTATAACAAAGAAAATAAAGATATAAAAAAAATCTCTTCAGTTTATAGTCTCACCAGTGCCGGAATTTCTGCTTAAGGCTAGTAATGAAAGTCTACATTTTCCTAGCCTTACCCTTTAAACATATATCTCCTTTGTGGACTTATCAGAAAGTGGTTTTATGGCCTCAGTAAGCAGTGAACAAGGATTCAAAGATTCAGGGCACTCTTTCTTACTATTAATCCAAAAAATGCAAATTAAAACAGCAAGCTATCTTTTTGGTCTATCAAATTGGCAAATATTTAAAATGAAGATATTATGCAGTGTTGATGAGGGTGTAGGGGCATAGATACGCTCATACTGCTGGTAGGAGTGTAAATTAGCTCAATCATTTTGAAGAGTAATTTGACAAGCTGTATCAAAAGCTTAAAAAAAAAACCCATGAGGCATTCCACTTCTAAGAATTTATCCTAATAGGATAATTCTAGGTGTGCTCAAATATTTATCTATATGCATATTCATTGAAACATTGTTTAATAGAAGAAAAATTGGAAATAATCTAAATGCTCAATAATAAATGTTTGAATAAATTGTGTTATATCTACAGAGTGAAATATGGTGAACTCTCTGAAATGCTGCTATACAATAATGATGGGGGGAGAAATAAAACAAGATGGGCAGATTATAAGAGATTTAAGAAAAAAATCAACCATATTCCATATTAGGACTTTGGATACTGATTTAACAAACTACCTCTAAAACAATCACTATGAGGCAATTAGGAAAATATATACACTGACTGGACATTTTATTATGTTAAGGAATTATTTTAAATATTCTGGGGTGATAATAGCATTGTAACATGCACCTTTAAAAAATGTCGTCTTTTAGAAACACATACTGAAGTATTTACTAGTGAAGTAATATAATGCCTAGAATCTGCTTTCCAAGAGCCCAGTGTGGGGAGTGGGAAGGTTGATGGGGATGTAGATAAAACACAATTGGCCAAATGTTGATAGTTATTGAAATTAGGTGATAGGTAGATAAGGATTTATTATGCCTTTATTGTGTATGGGTTTTCAATTTTCATAACGAGAAATAAAGATAATTTTGTTGAATAATTATATAAAATATTTTTATGATATTCATATAGTGTTGTTTAAAAATATGTCAAACAAACTATATAGAATAACCCAATATTTTCATATAGGAGCTCTATATATATGATATCCATTAAAATATATATATTGAGTGAAGTGATAAACTGCTGACTTTTTTCCCAAATGACTGTTTTCCATATGGCTGAGAGAAGAAAATATGCTTGAAGAAGCTTTGTCTAAGTAGTAGTTTGGGAAAAGATTATGGTTGACATTTAATGAAGATTCATTGGACAACTATTTAAGGTTTAATCTAATTTATAAATTTTCAACAACAAATTTTACTTTATTTCAAATGAAATAATACAAATTCTGAAAGATAACTTTGATTCTTTAAAAATATGCCATCAGCATGACTATATTTATTTGAAAGATTGAGGTATCAGAGCACCAAGAAATGACAGTTCTTCAATCTCCAGAATGTTACAAGTCTAGGCTATGGGAACTATGGTGGTGAAGGCCATATCTTTAGCCATTGTCTTTGAGAGAGAGGCATCCAATAACACACCGGTAGCAACAAAGACAAGATGAGTAAGGGCAAAGCTGAAATTGTTTAATGTATTTTTAATGATGCACTAGCTCTATGTTACTTACTTGAGTTAATAAAAACTCCTATTAAATCATTGTTTCTATGAAATTTCAATTTTTTAAAAAACATCAGAATAAATACATAGGCCTATATAATATATTACATCCAATATCCTATCACAATTGTTTAGTTTTCCATAATAAATAATTTATTTGAGCACATCTCCCTACATATCTCTGCCCAAATTGGCTAATAAATTTTCTGAACTTTAGTTTTCTAATTTGCAAAAGATGTTCATAAAAGTATATAATACTGGATTAATTTAAAAATAAGTTATATACAGTTTATGCAAAATCCCTTAGCACAGTGCCCAATGTTCTTTCTTTTCCTTCTTGATCCACCCTTTCTTTCCTTTCTCCTGTTTTTCCTTTTATCCTTCTTTCTTTCCTCCTGTTCTTTCCTATCAGAAATTTACCATTATGTGGTAAAATGCCTTGTACCATATAATAACTTGATATATAATTTTTTAAAGAAGCCTCTGAAAACAAAAAGTCCTGCACTCAGCAAATAAAATTCAGACTATTTACTATGTGGAAGAAAATTAATTAGATTCCTTCCTCACATAATACAGCAAAATAATTTCCAAAGGTTCTAAAGGCTTAAATATTAAAAAAAAATACAAAATATTGGAATATTTGATAGAAAGGAAATTTAAGAGCTGTCTGAACAGAACTGCCTTTAAAACTTGCAAAATGTTTATGCAGATTTTTGACTGCAGAAAAATCTGCATGCTCAGTTATTCCGGACACCAGTCCTCAGAAGTTCTTCCTCCCACATTTCAAAGTTTGCAAAGTTGTTTGCATCCAAACCCCACTTCTAAAATGGCAGTTTATCCAGAATTGTTCACAGAGTTTTAGTATCATTCAAAATAGTTAATTCAAGCCCTTGATTCAGAAGATCTGCCTCATTCATATGGCCAAAAATATCTTTCAAGGATTCTATGAATAAATCTCTCTCTCATAAGTGTTCTGAAAATGGGCTTTCCCTTCACTCATAAAAAAGCAAAAAAAAATTTCCTGAAGTTCAGTGAAGTACTCTAAGTATTTTTTTTCCCCTAGGAAGCCAGTAAAATTCTGTGTAGTGGAGAGTAACTTAGTATTGGATTTTGACTTTAAAAAAAAAAAAAAGCCTGTAAATAGTCAGTAGTTTAAGACCCTGGCTTTGATAAATCTCATCAACCTGCATGTGCTTACTCATTAATTCTACTAGGACTATGGGAGAGATTTTGTGGACCCTGAATACTGATATATGAAGCAATGAGTCCAGGTGAATTATGTATCTCCATTCTTCTTCCAACAAAATAACACTGCATTGCTGTCAATAACTAAAGTTGCTCCATATGTGCTCCAATAAATGAAATTTTTCTGCCAGTTGGAGTTTAGTTGGCAAGGAATATTTTCCGTAATTCAAAGATCTCAACAGCCTATCCAGTTTTCAAAAAGACCTCTTGATATATTAAAACCCAGGGACTTGCTGTCCTTAGAATCGTCCATAGTTTTTATCAGTTGTGTAGTAATCATGGACAGTGTGGCTGGCAATCTTCCAGTACCTGCTACATAGTTTTGAAAGGATATCACTGATTCTGAACAGCCATGGAAGAGCTGACTCAGCTTTCTTCATTCTGACCAAAGAGACAACTCCAAAATTTCTAGATCATGTGGTTTTAATAAACTTCAATATTCATTTGTTTGGCTTGGCAATGTGGTAAGAGATCTTACAGACTGTTTCAAGATAAAAATTTGTGTTGCAGAAATTTGAGTATCAGTACATTTCAGCTTCTTACAATCCAGGTTGGAGCTCATGGAAAAGATGTAAACGGTCTGCTTCCTCTTTTAGATGGAAGAAAGTAGAGCAATATTTTAGATTTATACACTCTATGCTTCCTCTGCTGAAAACTTGCCTTGTGAAAACTACCATCATTTTTATGTCCTAATACACCAAGATTCTGATTAAAAATGAGAAATGCACAATATTTCTAACTTAAGATGCACTTGTTATCAACAAAGCTAATAACCATAGTTGTAAAGACAGGGTATGTTTTTATTGATTCCTAACAATGAGAAGACACACCAGGCATCAAAATAATGCAATGTTAATGATTCTATGTTCTGCAATCATGCAGAGTATAATCTTATGTTTTAATTTGTTTATTATCAAATATTCACCAATTGTATAATTTTATATGGACCAAGAGTCTTTTCTTATACCTGCTGGTTGAGAATCTTTCAACTGACATTGCACCTATTTGCAAATATACATAACTCTGTCACATTTTAGTTCTGGACTCTGATGTCCTAGATTACCTTAATTAGGCTTTATTCTGGTATCTGATGCTAAGCACAAGCTCTGAATCACAGTAAGTATCAATGAGTGTTTGGTATGTTGAATTGAATCTTAGTGAAAAACAAAAAAAAGATAGGAGGAGGCTTCTAAAATGCTCATGATGGCAGCTTAGTTTTTCATTTTCTCATTTCTCTAGAAAACTAAAATGCATAGAAAATGAAAATAAATGGAAAGAGTCTCATTTTCGGTGAAATTAAGATGTATATAAACCTTGTAAACTCCATTGTTGTTAAGTACTTTTAAAAGCAATGGGATCAGCAGAGACAGGCCATACTTTTGCCTTTAGTGGGAAGGAGAGATGATGGGGCAATGGAAGAATAGTGTATGGAGGAGGTATTTGGAGTACAGATTTCAAAAGTCTCCGGAAATTATTTACTTATAGAAAGAGGACCCCACCTAAGTTGAAACTACCATATGAGGGTCTTAGATGAAATGAATTGTTTTGTTTTGTTTTGTTTTCTTTTTTGAGACAGAGACAGAGACAGCCTGCTCTGTCACCCAGGCTGGAGTGCAGTGGTGCAATCTCAGCTCACTGCAACCTCTGTCTCCCGGGTTCAAGTGATTCTTATGCCTCAGCCTCCCAAGTAGCTGGGATTACAGGTGTGCACCACCATGTCTGGCAATGTTTTTGTATTTTAGTAGAGACGGGGTTTTGCCATGTTGACCAGGCTGGTCTCGAACTCCTGGCTTCAAGTGATCCAACCGTCTCAGCCTCCCAAAGTACTGGGATTACAGGCACAAGCCACCATGCCCAGGCTGATCAAATGAGATTTTTGTGCTACACAAAGTGGAAAAAGAAGTAGCAGATCTCACACAACATCATTAAAATAACATGTAAACATTATAAATTAATGGGTCATTTAAAATCCAGGGGCAGTGTATTTTAGTGACTACAACTGGTGTTGAATTCAACAATAAGTGAATCATAGGATTAATGGTAGAGACCTAAGAAAGTAATATTTTAAAATGCTGGCACATTTTAATAATCACCATTCTGACTGGTGTGAAATATCTCATTGTGGTTTTGATTTGCAATTATCTGATTAGTGATAAGCATTTTTTCAAATGTTTGTTAGCCATTTGTTTATCTTCTTTTGAAATGTGTCTGTTCATGTCCTTTGCCTAGTTTTTAATTTGATTTTTTGGTTTTTGCTTATTGATTTAAGTTACTTGTAGATTCTGGATATTAGGCCTCTATCAGGTGCATGGTTTGCAAATATTTTCTCCCATTCTGTAGGCTGTTTGTCTACTCTTTGATACTAGCTTTTGCTGTGCAGGAGCTCTTTAATTAAATTAGGTCCCACTTGTCTTTTTTCATTTTTGTTCCAATTGCTTTTGGGGACTTAGCCAAAAATTCTTCACCAAATCCTATGTCAAAAAGCGTATTACCTAGGTTTTCTTCTAGGATTTTTATAGTTCGAGGACTTACGTTTAAGTCTTTAATCCATCTGTAGTTAATTTTTGTGTAATGTGAGAGGTGGTGGTCCAAATTCATTCTTCTGCATATGGCTAACCAGTTATCTCAGCACCATTTATTGAATAGGAAGTCCTTTTCCCATTGCTTACTTTTTGTCAAATTTACCAGAGATCAGATGGTTGTACATGTGTGGGTTTATTTCTGGGTTCTCTATTCTATTTCATTGGCCTATGTGTCTGTTTTCATACCAGTACCATGATGTTTTGGTTACTATAGCCTTATAGTATAGTTTGAAGTAAAGTAATGTGATGCCTCCAGCTTTATTCTTTTTGCTTAGAATTTGTGGCTATTTGGGCACTGTTTTGGTTCTAAATGAATTTTAAAATAGATATTTCTAATTCTCTGAAAATTTTGATAGTGATAACATTGAATCTGCAAAGTGCTTTGGGCCATATGTCCATTTTAACAATATTGATTCTTCCAGTCCATGAGCATGGATTATTTTTCCGTTTGTGTCCTCTCTGATTGCTTTCAGCAGTATGTTACAGTTCTGCTTGTGGAGATGGTTCACCTCCTTAGTTAGATGGATTCCTAGATATTTCATTTTACTTGTGGCTATTGTAAATGAGATTGTGTTCTTGATTTGGTTCTCAACCTACTTGATTGTGGTGAATTGAGTTTTTGATGTGCTACTGGATTCAGTTTGCTAGTATTTTGTTAGTAAGTTTTGCATCTATGTTCATTAGGGATATTGGCCTGAACTTTTCTTTCTTCATTGCATCTGTGCCAGATTTTGGTATCAGGATTATGCTGGCTTCATAGAATGAACTTATTTAAATATAAAAGAGATAAAAGAGATATACAAAAGAGATTGTTTTTATAGCAGCCAGTAGGGGTGACCCTTCCCTTCCCTGCATTATCCCTTATCTCTTGAAAGTAACTATTCCAGTGAAAATCTAACTTATTGCTATTCTAAATTAAAGGAACCAGTTTAACAGCTATACAAATATGTTTATAAGAAAAAATGTGTAAAATAGCAATAAAAGCTTCTCTACCAAAAGAAAAATAAAGAAATAAAACAACACACTTAAGGCAAAATGTGGCCAGAAAGCAGAAAGAAATGTATTTCTTGATATTCCAATAAAAGTCTTAAAATATCAGATGAATAATCTTAAACTATCAATGGCAGCTATGAAGGAAAATACTCAGCAGAAGTAAAGAACTCAGGGAAGTGAAGGCCTGCCATTAAAGCTAAATAACAGAAGGAGGTGAAATCAATATTGGAAAAATATAGGGGAAAAAAAAGAAAAATAAAATAAGAAATGAAGATTAAATTCCAAGGAGCCAAAGGGAGATGGTAAGTAGAATAAGGAACCTTTTTGTCTGTTATGTAACAAACCATCTCAAATCTTAGTCATCTTAAATAATGAGTTGTGTTTTTTTTTTTCCTCACAGTTTTATGGTCTGGTTGGGCAGTTGTTCTAATGGGCTTGCCTGGGTTTCTCATGAAGCAGCATTCAGCTGTGGGTTTTCTGTGCGCCGAGACCTGCTGGGGTGGCTGGTACAGCTGGGACATTGTCTCAGCGTGTTCTTTCACCTTTAATGAGTCTAGACCAGACTTCACATAATGGTCATGACAACATTCAAAAAGGAGTTCAAATATACAAGTACTTATTATTCCCCTGCTTATGTCATATTTTTTGGTATCCCACCAGCAAAAAAAAAAAAAAACAAAAACAAACTAAACCCCAAAATTTAAAAAAGGAAAGAAAGAAATTTAAACGGAAAGAAAAGAAAAGCCAAAAAATCACAGAGCCAAGTCCAGAGCAGTCTATTTGGTCCTAACGATTTGTTGTTGTTGTTGTTTTTTGTTTTTTGTTTTTTTTTTGAGACAGGGTCTCATTCTGTCACCCAGGCTGGAATGCAGTGGTGCAATCACAGCTCATTGCAGTCTCAGCCACCTGGACTCCAGCAATCCTCCCACCTAAGCTTACCGAGTAGCTGGGACTATAGATGCACGCCACAACGCCCAGCCAGTTTTTAAAATTTTTGTAGAGATGGGGGTCTGACTGTGTTGCCCAGGCTGGTCTCAAACTCCTGGGTTCAAGTGATCCTCCCAGCCTGGCTTCCCAAAGTTCTGGGATTGCAGGCATGAGCTACCCCTGGCTGGCTCTAATGATTTTATGTTGGAGTCCATTCAGGCTCAAAGACTGTGATTTTGTACATTACATCTGAATACAGAAAATGCTCCTCAGATGTAGTTTTTTGATCCTGGTGTCTGATGCAAAGTTTAGTACTTGCTCTGAATCACAGTAAGTATCAATGAGTGTTTGCCATCTTGAATGGAATCTTAATGCCAAAGATATGAAGCCATGGGGTGAGGACTTCTAATACAATCAGCTTCTGTTGATACAGAGACCCATGAACAAAAAGACAAGTTATCTGCTCCTCCTTACCCCACAGATAAAGCATAGAATAATGGAACAGGAACAGTATAACCACAATAGACATTCTCACATAGAAAGAAAATAAGTTGGAAATTTACAGCAATCACTGGTCCATAATGATTCTGACATCTAACTAAGCATATGTTTTTAGGAATCCTTACTTGGGGGCAGGGAATGCTCCTTAATTAAGGCTGATTCTGCTCTTCTGAAGTTGTTTTCTAATCTATTGTTGCCCATGGGCCTTGATTCTTCCCAGTGGGCTCTTGGTTCAGTTCTCTTAGAGCTTATTTTTCTTTAAGAAATATAATAGCTGAGTAATTTTATCAGCCAGTTTTCTGTATATAGAAAGATGAAGTCCCAGAGACCTCTTTTTATTTTAACCTCTCTTCTTTTTAGTCCAAACTTATGCAACTACCTGAAAAATTCTAATGATTTCTTGTGAGTGTGACTGGGATTCACATCCATAACTCTTTTTAAGATAAACTTCAGTCTAATTTGGGCATGTCAGTATGCTATGAGATAATGTTTTTTAAAATTTCTAGAAGCCCATTTGTCCAGCTGAGAGAGTCTACTAAAAATCACTTTTGATTTTTCTGAGGTCTTAAAAAGAGGACTATGTGCACTGGTTCATTCACAGGCCTCCTGGTACTTTGGGAGGCCAATGTAAGAGGATCCCTTGAGGTCAGGAGTTTGAGACCAGCTTGGGTAACATAGCAAGACCTTGTCTTTACAAAATATAAATAACTGGGTGTGGTGGCCTGTGCCTTAGTCCTAGCTACTCAGGAGTCTGAGGTGGAAGGATTGCTTGAGCACAAGAGGTAGAGTTTGCAGTGAGCTATGGTTTTGCCACTGCATTCCATCCCAGGCAGTGTTACAGTCTCACCAGTGCACCACAGCGTAGCAGTCTCATTGCCTGAGTTAGTACCCAGAGTCCTTTGTGTCAAGACCAAGAAAGTTAAGGAGCATGGACACCAAGGGTGAGGTTGGAGTGAAAGTTTAATAAGCAAAAGAAGAAAGCTCACCACCATTGCAGAAAGGGGACCCAGAAGAGGGTTGCCATTTTACGGTTGACTGCAAAGGCTTTTGTAGAAAACTGAAGAGGGCTGGGTGTCTCATTTGCATAATGTGTGAATTTCTGGTAGCTCCACCCCATCCTCCTAATGAGCATTAGCCCTTAGCTTGAGTTACTCCATGTTGTTGCTTTGTTCCCCTTACTGTGCATGTGTCAGGGGATGTTCCATTGTGGGGTATGTCTGGGAAAGTCACCTGTCTAGACTTTCTTATCTGTGTGGGTGTGGGCATGTCTTAGGCAAGCCCTCCAAGTAAGTTCCCATATCTGTACCTGCAGGCTGTTCTTCGGTTTGAAAGTATTCAACCGAGGACCCACCCTACCTGCCTGCCTGACTGGTTCCTTCCTTTCTCCTCTCTCAGCAACATGTGAGACCCCATCTGCAAAAAAAAAAAAATAAAAATAAATACATTGAATAAAATAAACTTTTTAAGAGATGTCTTATATGCATAATCTTGATTTGATTTTTTTTTCCCCGAGGCTATTTACCATACTGAGAATAGTTTTCCAACTGGAAAATCTGGAAATGTGAAATCATTTTATTTTCCAACCCTTAAATGTCCACCACTTCTTCATGCCTAATTTCCTGTTATAAACTAACCAGTCATCTCTTTAGCACGTCTGTCTCACTATGCATTGATATATGCATGGAAAAGAAGCCAATTGACACTTGTAACATTATGGCAAAAAGTCTCCTTAGCCAGAGCTAGCATTTCATCAGGTATAATTTTAGCTTCCATGTAATTGCATGTGACAGGTTTGCCAAATGTTTTGCTATTACAAAATATGGACTGTTATTTTTTTCTGCCACTAATAATTTCCCAAACCTATTTCTAACCTTTGCCAATAGTTTTTGTTGTTGTTGCTGCTGCTGTTTTGGTTTGATGTTTTTGCTATGTTCTGTTTTTGCCATTCCTTCAGGCATTGCCAACAGACCCCTCACACTTCTCAAGCCTCCATCTGTTGCCTATTTCCAAAGCCAATGCCACATGTTTTGGGTTTTATTACAGTCATGCCACACTTCTAGGTAATAATTTTTCTATCAGTTACCTAATAGTGCATAACAACCCTAAAATTTAGTGACTTAAAGCAATAATTTACTGTTTCTCATGATTCTGTGGGTTGGATGGGCAGTTCTCCTACTGGTTTCATCTGGGCTCATTTGAGTGGCTGACTGAACGTCTCTCTACATGTGGTCTTTCATTCTCTAGAAATTTAAACTGGGATTCTTCACAAGGTGATGGTAGCATTACCAGAGGGCAAACCCCAGTGTGAAAGTGCTTATTAAGCCTCTATGCTTGTCAAGTTCGCTGATGTCCTGTTGGCAAAAATGAGTCACATAACTAAGCCAAGAGTCAGTATGGGAGGAGACTGTAAAAGAGTGTAGACATCAGGAAGAATGATTAATTGGGAAACATTAATTAACAATATAACACATAAGCAATCAAGATAAAAGTGAAAAAATAAGAAATAGAGAAATTAGAGAAAAAAAGATGGCTTTAGAATATTGGGAAAGGAAAATAAAACGGATATTACAGATATTTAAAAATATAAGTCACCTTTTCTGAAATAAAAGGAAAATGAATCATATTGAAAAATTACTAAGAGAAAATTAATCATAAACACTAAGACATAATTTATATAAAAATGAAAGATGAATATTTTTATTTAGAAACAAGATGAATATAAAGTGAGTAAGAAGAAGAAAATAACAAGATGATTTTGAAAAGGCTGTTTCAGGCAACCACAACAAAAGATCAAGCCATGCGTACTTGGGGAGGCCATATGGCCTAGTTACCCTGAAACAGTTCCAGTTTATGCCTGTTGTTCTAAACATAAATAGTGGCCCCCTTCACTCTCAAAGTGTGGTTTAGATGACAATTTATAGTCAATGTTGTTCTAAGGGAAAAACAGTAAGACTTCCGACAGACTTTTTTACCGTAATATTCACTATCAGGAGACAATGAAGCACCAACTGCGACATATTCTGGAAAAGGGCACTTAACTACAACAAAACTTTTCTTCAAATTTAAATCTACAAATAGATGTGGCCCATGCCGGGTGACGTGTCAGAGCCCTGGCAACGGAAAGTGGTGGCTCGTGAGTAGTAAGAAGAATTTACTGCCAATAGTATAGGTTTGAAATAGAAAGAACACTGTGGAAGAGACAGCAAGTCACGTCAGCAAGTAAGGACTGAGCTCTCCATGGTAGATTTTTTCTTAGGGGTATTTATAGACCTTAAAGCGGGAGCTTAGGGGTAATTTGGACCATATTAGTCACATAGGTCATGAGAAACGATTCTGTTTGTAAACATTTTGGTGCCTTGATGTCAGCAAGGGTTGCACAATGAGTTTCAACAAACATGCATTCCAGAAATCTATAGACATTCTAGCTACTTATAATTTGTGGAAAAGAAGCCTGGTACCAGATGCTGTCTTTAGATAATAGGGAAGTCTAATTACTTATGAATTCCTCAGATAAAGAAATTTGCCGCTGGATGGTCTGCTTGATGGCCATCAGGTGATCTTTGCTCTCCTAAACCCAGGGAATTTTTAATGAAGAAATAATGTCTCACTTAATATTTTAATGAGGAGGCTATATCTTCTTGGGGAAACTTATGAAAGATCAACTGTAGCCAAAATAAAGATTTCAGAGGAAACTTCAATAAAAGGACTTGTCCTGACCATTAAATATCCTTAACTGTGATTCAGTCGAACCAAAAAGTATCAATATTGAATGTTTTACATGTTTTTAAAAAAGCAGAAATTGTAATACAAATATAGAGAAGAACAAAATGTTTTAAGAGGGATAAATTTGCTGATTGACTCATCTGTGCCTCATCTAAAAAATCAAAGATACTACTTTCACGTGGACAAATCAAATAGTAAAAAAATTAAGCAAGTTTATCAACACAGGAAAAGAATTAAGCAAAATAATTGTGTGGATTAAATTTAGATGGTGGAGGAAAGCAAGGAAGATGGGTAGAAGCGTCAGAGGTGTCCGAACCAGAGCAACTTCATCTTGAATAGCAGCTGTGTAAAATGAGGCTGAGACTTACTGGGCTGCATTCCCAGGAGGTTAGGCATTCTAAGTCACAGGATGAGATAGGAAGCCAGCACAAGATACAGGTGATAAAGACTTTGCTGACAAAATAGGTAAAGATGCGGTAAAGAAGCCAGCCATTCCCACCAAAACCAAGATGGTGATCCAAGTGGCCTCTGGTCATCTTCACTGCTTATTATACACTAATAGTAATGCATCAGCATGCTAAAAGACACTCCCACCAGCACCATGACAGTTTACAAATGTCATGGCAACGTCAGCAAGTTACCCTCTATAGTCGAAAAGTGGGAGGAACCCTCAGTTCCTGGAATTGCCCACCCCTTTCCCAGAAATTTTATAAATAATCCACCATTTGTTTAGCATATGTTCAAAAACTATAAGTATCTTTAGTCAAGTAGTCCATGCTGCTGCTCTGCCTATGGAGTAGCCATTCTTTTATTCCTTTACTTTCTTATTAAACTTGCTTCCACTTTACTCTATGGAGTTGCCCTGAATTCTTTCTTGCGTGAGATCCAAGAACCCTCTCTTGGGGTCTGGATTGGGACCCCTTTCCGATAACAAAAGGGAGTACAGGCATAATAAATTGCTGCTCATAGTAAGGAGTTAGTAGACATTGTCTAAAAAGAAGGGGCAAAAGTATTACAAAGAGATGTTAAAGATAACCACTCTAATCTGAAACACTAATCTTTAAAATATCTGAAGAGCTGCATTCAATACAAAGAAAACATACTCTATAGTAAACATAAACCAAAAGAAACCCCAAATAATATGACAGTAAAAGGAAATGTACCTGTTATATTAATAAATATAAAAGAGCTTAACTCACTTATTTAAAGAAAAAGGATTTGTACATAGAATTGCAAAACAAAACGCAACTCTAATTTGCATGAGACACACTTAAAGCAACTCAGAAGGACCAAAAGACAAAGAAAATAAGGACAGTTAAGTTATATCAGCTCAGTGCAAACACGAAAAAGCAGGAGTCTGATCTTAATTTCAGATAAGATAGACTTCAAGTCAAAAAGCATTATCTGACATATAGAAGAATAGTTTAGAATGTTAAGGGGTATAGTTGACAATGAAGATATAACAGTTACAAACACCTATGCACCTGAAATCATAGCAGTAATTTTCATAAATCGGAAATCATGACAGATACCAAGAATCGACCTGGAAATATTCAGAGACTTCTATTCACTCCCTTCAGACTAAGATGGAACAAATAGATAAAAGCACACTTAAGGATATAATATTAACAAAGTAAGCAAGAAGATGCATATATATATATATATGTTACTACTGTAACAATGAGAACATGCTTATGTGACAATTAAAAATTTTTTTTGACTATAAAGCCTCTATAAATCAAAAATTGGGGGATAGTATAGATAATATATTTTCTGATTCTGATGTAATAAATTTAGACATTGTAGCAAGATAGTAAAAAATACCTAGAATTAAAATTCTCCTCAAATATACTTAGGTTAAATATTTTTAAAAAGTACACACAAATCACAGAATTTCTGGATAACAACAATACACCAACCTATGGGACAGAGTTAAAATGGAGCTCAGAGGAAAATTCATAGCTCTAAATACTTATATTTACACAAAAGAAATAATAAAAATTTAATAACATTCTCCAACTAGATTTGTTTAAAAAGGAAAACTTATGCATATTTAATATTTTATATTTGTACAACTATATATGTCATTTTTAATAAAATATGCCTGGTTAGGAATTCTCAAAATCTAGTCAGAGTAGACTGATATAAGTCAAAAATCAAAAATCAGTGAGTCTGGGGAGCTTTTTGGAGGTCAAAATATTGTATGTCTGTTTTCTCTTATCTGTGGAGAAACTAGCCAGAATTCATTTCAACAACTCCCCAATTCTCATTCTTAATTAAAATCCTGCTTTGGGATTAGACTTTAATAATTCAAGTCAAGTTCGTAAACTTTATTACAGTAAATCAAATACTGTATTTGAAGACAATTGTGAAAATGGCGAAATATTAGTGTTAACGTATGCTTTATTAGGTAGATTTTTAACGTGGGAAAACATTTAGTTAAAATAAATGTTTTTTTCCCTTTTTTATCAAAAATGTAGTCAGTCCACATTGGGTAGTCTGAAAGTCATCTAGATCTAAAAAGTTATTGGTAAACTTGATATGTTTTAATTTAAATTACTCTTGAGAAGCAAATTGTCTTCTGTATTTTCATGTTTATTCTTTGTGTCTGCTGTTCCTCTATCAGGGTCCTTTCTCTTCCCACCAGCTCCTCTCTCTCTGATTATCTAAATCATATCCCTTCTTAAAGAGTTGTTCAAGTCTCTCTTTTTGCAGAAAGCTTTTCCAAAGTATTGAGGATCTACTAATATGTTTATTTGCTGATCTTCTATGCTTTTAATCTGTACCCTACATTCTGCCATTTTATCTTATGCCATTGTCTTCTATGCTTCATAATCTGCAATATAAAATCCTGACATTGTATGCCTATCAGAACAGACATGATACATACATGTAGGCAGTGAGACAATGACGTGATTTTAGAATTGCTGAAGCTCTTCTTCTTTGCAGATGGTTGCTTATGGTGTCTGAAGGCCCACCAGAAACAATTATACCATTGAATCAGAGTGTTTTCTCCATTTGGTTCAAATGAAACTCATATCCTGCTAAGAGTAGAACATATTAAAAGGGAAATTATTCTCTTATTGGTTCCTTTCCTC